>NC_000004.12:178921381-179224411 GCF_000001405.40 Homo sapiens
ATGAAATTTGAGAGCTAAGTAATTTATATTTGGTTTTAATATCATGGAATTTGGAGGATCAAGATTAGAAGAGTTCTTAGCTGGTAGGTGGCAGCTGAGATCGTTGAATAAATAAAGGTTTTGTTAGAATTTTCTGCATAGAAAATTAGCTAAATGACAGTAGAGATGTAGAGATTAAGATCTCTCTATGTCTACCTCAAGATACATCAGATAGAGAAACAGACAGTCAGATACATAGATAGATAGATAGATAGATAGATAGATAGATAGATAGAAACTTAAACATATATGATAGATGGCAGTGGTGGCCCATCTGGAGCAGCCTCTGTGGGGATTCCTGCTGCAGCTGGGGAGGTGTGGCTGGGGCTGCATGCTCCGTGGAGTTGGAGGGAGCCTGGAGCAGGTGGGAGCCCTGACCCTTTCCAAGTTGGCAGGTGGAGCGCTGCACTCCTGGGTACAGCTGCAGCCCCCTAGCTATGGCTGCCAACTTAAGGACCCAAGCATTCCTGTGCTCTTAAGGGCCTGGGAAGCCCCGCTTCCCTCACAGGCTCAGAAGTGTCTGCTGCCGCTGCCTTGTCTCTCCCCAACTCCCAGCACCCACTGTGATTTCGTAGCAAAGTTAAAGCCAAGCATGGGTGCTGCCCCAACCTGGCCAGGTGTGTGCTTGAGGAGGCACTGACATGCCAGCCCCCTGCTGCCTTGGCTTTCTCTGGAATTTGGGCACTGACAAGCACAAGAGGGCGGTCAAGGGGGTGCTGAGGATGGCTCTGCACAGGACTTCTGGACTCCCTTGGCGCAAACAGCCTGGGCCCCAAGAATGACATGATTAATGGCAGCAGGAGGCAGAAACGTTCCTGTATGGAAAGGCATGGATCCTTGGTGAAGCCCCACCTTCAAGCCAGGGATGGCCTGAAGCCCAGGGCCAAGTTGTCAGTTCTGGGGAAGTCAGCCACTTATGGTGCTTTTTCTGTGCCCAGTCTTGGCTGCCCATGGACCAATCAGCAGGCACTTCCTACCTTCTGAGCCCATAAAAACCCCCAGACCCAGCCAGACTCACACAGAGGGGACTACCAGCTGTGGGAAGGAGCTACCCATTTGGCATCTCCTCAGCCAGTCAGAACGACCTGCCTGCAGAAAGGAGCTACCCACTGTGGGTCTTCTGTCTGCTGAGAGCTGGACGCTCATCAGGATGACCTGCCTGTGGAAAGGAGCTACCCACTTTGGGTCTCCTGAGAACTGCTCTGCCACTCAATGAAGCTCCTCTACACCTTGCTCACCCTTCACTCCAGTTGTCTGTATACCTCATTCTTCCTGGATGTGGGACAAGAACTTGGGAACTCCTAAATGGCAGGACTAAAAGAGCTGTAACACAAACAGGCCTGAAACATGCCCCCTGCTTGCCACATTGTAGATGAGGAGAAGGAGAGAAGAGCTTTAGCCCTTCAGGGTGCCTATACCTAGGAGCTCCCCAAGCTAGACCTGTGACACTCTCTTTGGGCTCTGCAGTTCCTGGCATCTCCAAACTTCCAGGTGCCACTGCATTCTCCTCATCCAGACATGGGTGCCCACAGTGGAAGCCACGTGCAATACATCTGGTCCTGGCACAGCTTGGCACAGAACTGGTACCTGTGCCAGCACCTGTAGCTTCCCACCCCGCTGTGCACAGTAGCCAGACCATGCGCTTGCTTGCCCACACACTCCTCTCCACTACGTGCCTGGTGCACCCTTGGCAGGTGTGTGATTCTGGCTGGTAGCACAAGCCGAGCATAGCCTGCTGGGATGAGTGGACATAACAAGCCCAGGGGCACAATCAATTACTCAGGCAGACATGCTGCTGGCCAAAGAGGTTTCTAGCTCGTGAAGTGACAGTCCAAGGATTCTGTGACATGGGTAACAAGGAAGATATGGTGAAACGGTAATAATCACATATCAGCGGGCCAAGGTAGGCATTAGGGAAGGAATCAAAATCTTAGGCAGATTAAGTTTAAGAAACTTTCTCTGCAAGAGGTGGAAATGTAGAGAAAAATAAAGTTACCTCAAGAGAATGATTAAAAACAAAACAAAACATAAACTCACAGTTGGTGAAATTGTGCCTCTCATTAAGCTAGGTCATCTATTGCAAATGAGAAGTGTTGCAAAGAGAAACTAAAGTTGAGAAGAGTTGTAAAGTATCTGAGAGAAATTTACAGTTTGGTGACTAAAACAAGCCTCTTGTGTCTTTCGTAGTTGTGATTTGAAATATCTTCTCCCATAAGAACATGGGAATGCCAAGAACTATTATATAGGATCAAGAACTTGTTTATATTGTGACTTAGAAGAATGATATCAATTTTAAACATACAGATTGGATTTCATAAAACCTTTAAAAAAGTTTTTTCTTAAAGAAATGATTGAACCAGAAGTACCCATTCTGGGTAAAATAAAGCAAACATGCATCGACATTTCTCTCCCACTACATCTAGAAAACACTACATCTAGAAAACCTAGATAAAATATGTGGAATAACTATTTGAGATCTTGCTAACATAAATATAAGTAGGTAGACTCAGGAGAAGCACCAAAATTCAAAATACTAAAGAAATGTCAGCTAATTTGACTTTTTATTGTTCTCGTTCCTTGTGTATTCACTACCCTGGAACTGAGAGGTGAGCACTGTGATACACACAGAGAGAGAAACTCTCTAGTTCTGGCTTGAGGAGTTAAAAATGGAGACTTCTAGGCTCAAAAAGATTTGGGAAAATTTTTCACGTTTTCACTCACTTATATTCCATGCCCCAGGCCACCTTAAGCTGGGAGCAAGATGGCAACAAAAGTAGCCAACTGTAGAGGCAGCAATGCCATAGGAGTTGAAATTTCTTCTGTTAGATGGAGCCGTGGCTCTCAGAGTGGGGTCAAACCCATTGATTCTTTTTCTTCCTTTGTTTTTGTCTTCAAAAATTACAGGACAATCAGAGAACTGATGGTTTTAGCCAGGCTGGCCAACATGGTGAAACCCCGTCTCTACTAAGAATACAAAAATTAGCTGGGGATGGTGGTAGACGCCTATAATCCCAGCTACTTGAGAGGCTGAGGCAGGAGAATTGCTTGAACCTGGGAGGTGAAGGTTGCAGTGAGCTGACATCATGCCATTGCACTCCAGCCTGGGCAACAGAGCAAGACTCTGTCTCAAAAAAAGAAAAAAAAAAAAAGCAGTGGTGGTTTTAGCATATTTAACTTTTTCATTAGCCTCCAGCCAACTAGACAGTGCTAGGAGGCAGCAGAGAGAAGAGCTTGGGAAAGCGAGGCTGTTTATGAATTCTTAGGCTCAACACAAGCTGCCCATGTGTGACTATGTCAATAATTAGAATACAATAGACACTGAAAACTGTGGTAGCAGATAGACCTCCACACAGAGGTAAGGCTGACCACTGGGTAGCATGCATGGTGGAAGAGAGATAACAGCACAGCCTAAAAACTGAATTGCCGTTGGAATCACAGCCACAGAATAGAACCATGACAATCTCCACTTGCATGGGAAAAGATAATGGATACCCACAAATAGACAGAGATGTTGGCAATACCTTACACAAACTTTAATTTTTTACAAAAATGTTTGACCAAGCAATCCTGAAAACAAATGTCAAAATAGAAAAAGTAATTAAAATAGGTATAAAGAGGAAAAAAATTTAGAACTGAAAAAATACAACTAAATTAAAAAATAACTCATTAAATAAACTCAGTAACAGAAAGTAGGAGGAATGAGTCAGTCAAATTGAAGAGAAGTCAACAGAAAGTATTCAATTTAACAACAGAGACAAAACATATTGAATAAAAATGAGCTATGGAACCATAGCAAATGCTGTGAAATTTGTGTCTCAGAGTCCCAGAAGGAGAGGAAAACAATGTAGGACTGAAAAAAAGTTAAGTATGAGGAAATATTTCTAAGTTTGGCAAAAGGCATAATCTCACATACTCCAGAAGCTGAAGGGGCCCAAAACTGTACATGCAGACACATCACAATCAAACTGGCGAAAATTTAACAATAAGACAGTTTTAAAGACAGCCAAAGGAAAATGACATATTCGCTGTAGGATTCCAATTATTTGAATTTCTGTGGACTCATCATTTAAAAGTATGTAGGCCAGAAGGAATTAGCATAGTATTTTAAAGTACTCAAAGAAAAACAAAATAGAACTCTCAACCCATAACTCTATATCCAGCACAAAATATTTTTCAGGAGTAAAGGTAATTTAAACATTCTCTGCTGGAAGAAAACTCAGAGAATCTTTAGTGAGCAGACTTGTTTTAAAGAATTATTACCCAGCAATCCCATTACTGGGTATATACACAAATGATTATAAATCATTCTTCTATAAAGACACATGCACACATATGTTTATTGCAGCACTATTGCAAAGACTTGGAATCAACCCAAATGCCCATCATTGATAGACTGGATAAAGAAAATATGGCACATATACACCAAGGAATACAATACAGCCTTAAAAAAGAATGAGTTCATGTCCTTTGCAGGGACATGGATGAAGCTGGAAACCATCATTCTCAGCAAACTAACACAGGAACAGAAAACCAAACACCACATGTTCTCACTAATAAGTGGGAGCTGAACAATGAGAACACATGGACACAGGGAGGGGAACGTCACACACTGGGCCTGTCGTGGGTGAGGTCAAGGGGATGGAAAGCATTAGGACAAATGCCTAATGCATGTGGGGCTTAAAGCCTAGATGATGGGTTGATAGGTGCAGCAAACCACCATGGCACGTGTAAACCTATATAACAAACCACCACATTCAGCACATGTATCCCAGAACTTAAAGTAAAATTTAAAAAAAATAAAAATTTTAAAAAATTAACAGAAGTTCTTCATACAGAATAGACATGATACCAGCAGGAAACTTGAATATTAAGAATAAAGAAAGAGAAAAAAATATGCATACAGTGGACTTTTGAATAAGACAGAGGCTAAAGAAACTGACCCCACACAAAGTTAAAAATCTGCTTATGATTTTTGACTATACCAAAACATAACTACTGAGTAACCTACTATTGACTGGAAGTTTTACCAATAACATAAAGAGTTGATTAACTATTTTTGTGTTAAATGTATCATATACTGTATTCTTACAATAAAGTAAGCTAGAAAAAAGAAAATGTTATTAAGAAAATCACAGGGAAGATGAAACATTTACTATTCATTAAGTGGAAGTGGATCATCAAAAGGTCTTCATCCTCACAGTCTTCACACTGACTAGGCAGAGGAGGAGGAAGAGGAGGGGTTGGTCTCGTTGACTCAGGGGTGGCAGAAGTGGAATAGGTGGAGAAGGTGGAAGGGGAGGCAGGAGAGGCAGGCACACTTGGTGTAACTTTACAAAAATACATTGCAATTTCTGTCTGATTTTTTTGCCTTTTCATTTATCTAAATACGTTTCTATGGAGTACTAAATTTTTTACCGTTTGCTTTAATTTTGGTGCCCATATCATAGAAGAATCCATATTGTAAAATAAATCAAAAGCAGTCTTGAAAATCAAAAGCCTTCTGCCAGATTGTCTAATGTCAACTTGTTTTCTGGCCCTGGTTCCTCTATGTCTTCTTCAACTTCTGGCACTGTTTTGGAAGTACTTGTCTCCATCAAGTCATCTTTTGTTAATTCCTCTGCTGTGGTGTCTAATAGCTTTCAAATTTCTCCATGATTCATATCTTGAAACTTATAACCCAGTCGTTTTTTGCCACATTTACAATCTCTTTCATTATTTCCTCAATTGACTCTGTCATAAATCCTGTGAATTCACGCACAATATCTGGACACAGCTTTCTCCAGCAGGAATTTATTGTTTGGGGCTTCATGTCTTTCGTAGACTTTCTATAACAATGATGACATCTTCAGTGTTGCAATCCTTCCAGATTTTCATAATATTCTCTCTATTAGGATTCTCTTCCATATGATTGACAAGCCTTCACTGTAAAGTATCATGTGTAATGAACCTTAAAGTTCTATATTACCTTCTGATCTAGAGGCTGAATTAGAAACATTGTGTTTGAGGTCAAGTAGACCACTTTGTTGACTTTGGTGTTGAACTCATGGGGTTCTAGGTGGCCAGGGGCATTGTCCAATATCAAAAGAGCTTCAGAAGGCAGTCCTTTACTGGCAGGGTACATTCTGACTTCAGGAACAAAGCATCGGTGGAACCAATCCAGAAAACGTGTTCTGGTTGTTGAGGACTTCTTGTTGTACAACCAAAAGACTGGCAGCTGGTATTTAACTTTTTCTTTCAGCGCTCAGAAATTTGCAGCTTTATAGATAAGGGTAGTCCTAATCATAATCCTCACTGCATTTGAACAAAGCAGTAGAGTTAGCGTATCCCGTTCTGCCTTAAATCCTGGTGCTCACTTCTCTTCCTTACTAATACATACCCTTTGTAGAATTTTTTTTTCCCCCATAATAGGTCACTTACGTCTGCATTAATAACCTATGCAGGCAGATATTCATTCTTCTCAGAGATTTTCTTAATGGCATCTGAGAATTCTGTGCCTCTTGGTTGGCAGAAACTTTTCTTGAAAAGTTTTCTTGAAAAAAATTTTAAGCCAAACCTCTTTCCAAAATTATCAAACTATCCTTTGCTGACATTAAATACTCCAGCTTTAGATCTGTCACTGAAAATTCTAACCAGTGCAGTCAGGTAATAAAAATGAATTGCAGATTGCAAAACAAAAAATAAAACAGACTCTATTTATACATCATGCCTGTATATGTAGAAAACCCAAAAGAATCTACAGAATACCTCCAGAACTAATAAGTGAGTTTTGCAAGACTGGAAGATACACAGTCAACACATGGGCAAAACAAACCATCAGAATAATTCCAAGTACAGTAATAATTCAAGAATAAATGGTTTCAGATAATCTTATTTATTTATTTATTTGTTTATTTTTAGAGACAGGGTCTTGCTCTGTCACCCAGGCTGGAGTGCAGTAGCACAATCGAAGCCCACTACAGCTCCTGGGCTCAAGTGATCCTCAGCACCCCCAAGTAGCTGGAACTACAAGTGTGTGGCACTATGCTGGGCTAATATTTTAATTTTTATTTTGTAGAGATGGGGGTCTTAATATTTTGCCCATGCTGGTCTCAAAGTCATGGGCTCCAGGGATCCATCCACCTTGGTGTTCCAAAGTGCTGAGATTATAGGTGTGAGCCACCACACCTGGCCTATAATCTTATTTAGTATGTCTTGAGACATCTGAAAATTTTCTAAAATTAAACTATACAAGACACATTAAAAAACATACCCGAATCTCCAAATAAATTTATATAGCTTATTTATCAGTTATGAAAATATTTCCTTCTCAGTTTTCTTGGTGATAATCCTACAATATAGACAAGATTTAGCACCAGCTCACTTTTTAGATATATATAATTTCTTTTGCTAGAAATTAGGAAATCATTTTCTTTTATTTACCTCCTGTTTTATTCTTTTACTGAAATCTTTGTCCTTCCTTTATTCTAAAACTATTGGTTATTTTAATGCGTATGCTGAGAGGAGAGATTGATTGTTTTCCCATATTTTCACAAATGGGAATATCAAGAATAGCCTGAAAAATTCCACATTTGAGAAATGTTTCTATGGCCAATATGAAAATTCTCTAAAACTTAGGAAAACTCATATCTTTACCCATTTAACATTTTAAAGAGATAAAGCAAAACAGTAGAAAGTCATGACAGGCAATCTGATCAAAATTCGAAAATTTTTACTTTTATCTTTTTTTGTTTGGGTAGATGACTATGCTATGCAGAATTTTCCTCTATTTTTAAGTTATCAAAATTAATTTAATAATATATTTTACTCTCTTCTTGTTGTTTTTTCTAGCCATTTTTTTTTGTTCAAAAATATGTTTCCATTAAGAATTGCTATTGAAATTTTAAACTTTTATTTACTACTACTTGAAATGGCGTCTGGATCCAATAGATATTTGGGAAAAAATGCTATTTTTTCCAACATTTTCATAAAGTGTTACTCCATTTCATGACATTTGCTTTTTATATATGTACTAATTCTCACTCTTCTTAAAAGTAAAACATCTATACTTACCTCCTAGCTACATGTGAACATTGATTTAGTGTTTTGTAGATAATATATAACCAGTGGTAGATAAGGTTGTATGATGACTAATGATATAGCTATAACATTATCTTGTTTTCACTGCCAAAAAATTTTTACTTCACACACTCAGGGACAGATATCCAATGCTTCCTTGTTGTTTCTTATGTAATCTTGAGAGTTAAAAATATTGATAGTTAAAAATATTGACAGCATTGTTGCATTTAGTCATCTTCACTGCTTTTCAGAAGTAAGTTTCATGTAAACTGATCAGTAGGTTGAGACCCTAGTGATATGTTTCAAAGCAGCATATAAAACATGATGCTACACTGTTATTTTTTAAAATACCTTTTCCAGAGACTTGTCATAGTTGCACTGCTTTTTTCTAAAGAGGATGTTACAATTTCAGTGTGCATGTCTATGAAATAAATGTTTTTAAATATAAACATTAAGTATTGTAGTTATGCAGTATTTCTAAGGCAATTCCAAAACTAAAACATACTGTCAATATAACATTTGTCAATCAGCATTTTTACCTTTAGGAAGTAATTCTTTTTTAGAACACTGTAAATATATTTGGACTTCAGACATTCATAAGAAAAGAAGAAAGTGTTTGGTAGATCATAACATAGTTTGTTTTCTTACTGTAAAGCCTTTTTCTGTTTATGGAGGCTCAAACAGCAGTTGAGAAAATAACTGACTCTGCTGTCTATTAGATTAATTTCAAGTAGTCAATATCGCTTTTCATTTGTAGTCTTCATTTTTACTCCAGTTTAGGTTATGTGGGGTTTAGTTTATTTTTGTTTTTTATTCTTCCTAGCTTTATTATGGTATAATTGACAAGTAAAAATTATATCTATTTAGTACGTAAAATGTGATGTTTGGATATGTGTACACATTGTGAAATAATTAAATCAAGATAATTAACATATACATCCCCTCACATCTTTACAAATTTTTGGAGGTGAGAACATTGAACATCTACTCTGTTAACAATTTTCATGTATACAATACATTATTAGCTATTGTCTTTATGCTGTACAATAGATACCCAGAGTTTATTCATCTTGTCTCGCTTGTCTCACTTGTTCGTCTTTGACTAACATTTCACCATTTTCCCCCATCCAGTCTTAGTATTTAGAATTCCACGGGACTGAGATATTTCTGAACTCAGTTTCCCAAGTTGATTTTGTGGCAGAAACCTGGTTAGAGAAAAAACATCAACACTTTGAGAGTCACTAAAGTTGCATAAAACATAATAAGAAAAATATTTTGTATAGTAATGCTAAAACAAAACAAAACAAAAGCTAATTTACTAATAACTTTTGCTTATGTTTTTATTTCTCCTAAAAAAATGCTGACTAGAGCAGTCTTGTTCGCTACAAATCTTAATTCTAACTTTTAAGAAGCATAATTACACCCACATACATACACACACAGATACACCCACACACACACACACACACATAAGCAAATTTAAATATGAACTTTATTTAAATATGAACTTTCTAAACCTCTTTTACCGCATCTGTAAAGGAATTAATTTCTATCTCCCTGTGTCCCAGAGTTGTTTGAGAATCAGATGAGATAACTAATACGCAAACTATAAATCCAAGTACTAAATTCTGACCTTTTTTCTCTCTTGCCCAAATTCCCATCTAAGGGGCTTGGGGAGTCATGCCCTAAAAATCAGAAAATCTCATCAGATGGTTCTGTCTAACCTTATATAAAGTGGCTTACTTTCCAGGCTGACTCTGGCATCACATCACATGACAGATAAAGAAGGAAATCAAAATATTTAGCCCCAAAATATGTTTCTTTGCCATATTTTGAAGTGGCCCTGAAAAGCCATTTTTATTTTTATTGGGAGAAGATTTGCATTTGTAAAGAATCTCTTAACATAACTAGGTCTTTTCTCTTCCAGATCCTCGCAGTCCTGAAGAGACTGACTGATAGTCTAACACCTGAAAAAGTGAGAATAGAAAACATTTGCCATCTATTATTTCTAAGGGTGGCCACCTATGATATTTCATCTACATAATAAGAACTTTGATCTTCAAGACCCCTTATCTTAACCCAGAAATTCCTTTCTATTGATTGAAGTTTTAAATAATAACTTGTTCAACCAATTGCCAATAAGAAAATCTTTGAATCCACTGATGATCTCTAAGCCTCCTCAACCCACCCTGACTTCGAGTTGTCCCACCTTCCCAGACCAAACCAATGTATACCTCCCATGTATTGATTGATGTCTTAGGTTTCCCTAAAACATATACAACCAAACTGCCACCCAACCACCTTGCGCACATGTTCTCAGAGACTCTGCCTCATGCCATGGTCACTTATGTTTGGCTCAGAATAAATCTCTTCAAATATTTTACAGATTTTGCTCTTTTCATCAACAAAACACAAGTCAAATGCAAAATAGACTATAATCATTTAGAAAGAAGTATAGACATTGTCTCTCAAATGGTGGGAGGGCTTATTATTAATTTTCATATGTTAAATTGCTTTATAATTTTGTTGATAGCTATCTTACAGTCTTCCAAATAGAAGCACAAACTTCGGTACTAGTAAGTGATAAGTACATTTGATACATTCAGGTGTAATTAAAAGTCATCAAGAGTCTATTTTGGACCAATAAATTTGCTGATTTATATTGGGTAGGCACCCACAAATACAGTACATGATGTTTTCAGTAAGAAGAGGCTATAGAATACAACACAAAATGGTGCCATTTAGAAATGCACCAATGAAATTTGTGAGATGGTTTGCACTGGACCATTTTATAATAAATCAGTGATTCATGAAATATAAACTCAATAAAGATAGATGCCAACTTTCATAACTATTTAAGAAACAGCCTAAAGATTACATTAAAATGCCTTCCAAAATCACACTCTACAACTCAGATAAAATGTAAATAAGCAGTTTTTGCAGTATTGAGATGAAAAAACAAATCCATTCCGTGAAATAGTTTTTTAAATACAAGTTACTAAAAATGGTAGTGTAACCATGATTTAAATTATAATAATGTTTAAAATTATTTCCCTTTGAAGATTTTAAAGATTATATCTGAAGCACATTTCCTCTTTCTTTCAGTACTACTCTTCTATAAGTATAAAGAGAAAGCTTTAGATTGCTACATTTGTATAATCTATGTACCTTTAAAAAATCAAAGTTATTATGAAAAGATAGTGTCTAAACTTAAGCAGCATCTGTCAAATGGGATTTTATAAAGGATTGAGAATTTAAGAAATACATATTTCTAGACTGGTCATCAGAAATGATTTCATGCTTCTACTGCCACCTTTAATACATAATCACAAAAATGTCAGTGATAAAGTCATAATCCCTGCTCAATAAGTCAAGCCATGGAACCTCAGGCTAAGTGAAATTTAAGTCCTTTAAAACTTTGATTTTACCACCCTTGCTCATAACTGCTTGGAGGGTTTCTGCTATTTTTCTTATTAGTAAATATTTTTATCTGTAAGTTATTTTCTATGTGATGCATGGCCTATTGCATACTCTCTATTCCTAAGTATATGATATGAATTTCATTATTCTTTAATTCTTAAGACGGCATTGAAGATTGGGGCTGTAATTAACATGCACACACACACACACACACAAAAGAAATGGAAGGAGACATATAACAAAAATGTGTGAGTTATTCTGCTTAAGAATATCAACTTCTGCTACTACAGCAATGTTTCAGAACTTCATTTAATTAACAGAGAGGTCAAAAGGCATATTGAAGGCAGACTATTTAAAACCAGATAGATCTGTATTTAAATTCTAGCTTTGTAAGTAGCTAAAACCAAAAAGAAATTCAGGAAATTTAATTAATTTATCTCAACTTCAGATTTCTCATCTGTAGTATCAAAATATGTATATTTTCCTACCTGTTATCTATGATTTTGGAATGTGACACATGACACAAGCTGATAATATTAGTGACAATATGTCTACTTGTTCTTCCATTTCATTAGACATATTAGTAATAAAACATTGGTGTTAGTGGGAATGAAATCCTCAAACATTTATTTTTAACCGATTTTGTCTGAGTTTCACTGCTTTCATTTCAACATGCAACCCTGCTAAGGTGAACCACGACCTCCATGTCATTTAATGCAATGGGTCATCACGCTGTTGGAGCTACCATAGCATCCAATATTGTGGCCTCTTTCAAAATATTTTTTTTGTTTTTGAGATGGAGTTTTGCTCTTGTCGCCCAAGCTGGAATGCAGTGGTATGATCTCGGCTCACTGCAACCCTCCTGGGTTCAAACGATTCTCGTGCCTCAGCCTCCCGAGTAGCTAGGACTACAGGCACACTAAACCACACCTGGCTAATTTTATATTTTTTGTAGACACAGGGTTTCACCATGTTGGCCAGGCTGGTCTCAAACTCCTGACCTCAAGTGATCCACCTGCCTCAGCCTCCCAAAGTGCGGGAATTACAGGCATGAGCCACCGCGCCCAGCCTGCCTCTTTCAAAATATTATTTCTGTGTTTCTGTGGTTTTCATGGTACAATATCTTTACTTTCTATGTTGTTTACAAATTCCTTTTATATCATTTTATACCCACTCTTAAATATCCCATAGATGCCTCAGAGTAAATAAAAAATCAAACTCATTAGCTTTTTAATCAAATGTGATTCTCTTGCAGATTACTTTTTGTGAATTCACCACTGTCCCTAGGCCTCATTCTTAAATCCTCCATTCTCGTCACTCTATTTTTCTACTCAATCACCAATTTTGTCTTTCGTATCTCCTGAATATTTATTAAAATCTTCCACTTCATTTCTATCACTCCCACTTAGTCCAAGTACTTTTTTTCTGTTGTTAACTGGTGCAGTAATACTTTAGCTGAATTGCCTCCATTCTCTCTGATTTTCTTCCACTCTTCACAGGCAGCCAGAATAATCTATTCGTTAAAAATCATAAAGATTCTTCCTGCCTCTTTTGAAAAACATTTAATAGCTTCCTGTTTTTCTTAACGTAGTCATAAAATTTTTTATCAAGGCCTATAAGGCAATATGCACTCTTCACTCCACTACTACACTAGAACTTTTGGGTTTTGTTCTTATATCACATTATGCTACCTGCACTTTGTAAGTTCATTTCACACTCACCTTCTCACTTCTGTACAAGACATGTTTCTACCATCATAGAGTTCTACTACAGGTTAATCCTTTCTCCTTCTCATTTCCCTTCTCCTTCTTCCCCTTCTATCCTTCCCTGAATCTCCATGATTTGGCGAAATTTGCTAATTGCATTATCTGATAGCACCATATACTTATCTTTTGTGGAATTTATTGCAGTTGAAATTTCTACTTTTATTTGCTTTTATCTAGAATTTATCTAGGATATTTATTATTTTATAAGTTTCCCAAAGGCTGGTATATCTGTCTTCACTTGTCAGTTTTTTAAAAGTGCCTAAGAACATGCCTGAGACATTTAGATATTCAATTAATTTGTAACAAATAAGTGAATAAATTAATCAATGAAATATTATGACATGAAAGAAGGAGCAAATCCTGGATGCTATGATGGGAAATTCAATATAGTATAATGGTGTATAACCAACAGTAGAATTCTACTTTACAATTTATTTACATCAGTCCAGGAAATTCTGCAAACCCACCCAGCACAACTACAAAGAGCATACGTGGGCTTGTTACATATGTCATACATTTGTAGACCTTAACAGAGTATAGGCAATTTGTAAAAAATATGAGCTTCCTGTGCTGGAGCAAAGATGACACAGAACTAGCCCAATGAAAGAAGGAAGGCATTGTTCGTAAAACCTATGAGAAGATCCTGTTAAGTTCCTAGAGAGAAACAATTACCAAAAGGCATTTGTGAGAAATGAAGACAGTTATTATTTATTTTATTTTGTGAAGAGATGCTTAATGAAACTCTGGAAAAGCTATAAATAGATTCAAAGTGATGTTACAAATGCGATATACATATACCCCATGTATGTGTTACCTTTCCAAAAGCAGCCATTATTTCCTATCACCATACAACACAGAACTGATTGACAGTGTGGAGCAAACCATATATATGTAATGGTTATAACTCATTTGTTAGAGATCTACATGACCATAAATTCCCCATTTTTGTTCATTTTTATTATTTATCATTTATCAAATTCTATTATATCCCGTTAATGTCATAGAAACTCATTTACACAACAGGATTTTGACGTAGTCAACACTAGCATCCAATACATTAACCAATATTTTTACCATAAAGGAACTGATATCAAAATTAATTCAATTTATTTTTTCTTTAAATTTAGCTAGTAATAACTTATTCATATTCATAATAACTTCTTCAGAGTTTATAAACCTAAAATTTCTATCCTTAACATCTTTTCAGAGCAGAAATCAAGTAGATATTGAAGAATAAAATGCAATTATATTTGCAGTTTCTTATGTAATTCAGGTTAATATTATCCTAAATTATACTTTTATGAGACAAGTAATTGTACCTTGAACTATAAAAATGAAGAATATGTAGTGATAAAAGTGATAATCCATGTTGAATACTTTGTAATATCCAAGTCCTGTTTATCTTTCAGCTCACTTGAGCATATTCTAGCATATTTCCATTAAATGTCCATACAAAATTCTTGTTCTACTTTTGTCTCTCTTTCAGTCAACATTTTGTATAACTGACTAATTTCTCCCATATATGTAAAGAGGAGATTTTATTTACATATAGTTTTGGTTAAGTATTCTTTTTTATTTATATATATATATTTTTTTGAGACAGTCTTGCTCTGTTGCCCAGGCTGGAGTGCAATGGCATGATCTCAGCTCACTGCAACCTCTGCCTCCTGGGTTCAAGTGATTCTCCTGACTCAGCCTCCCGAGTAGTTGAGATTACAGGCATCCGCCACCACGCCTGGCTAATTTTTGTATTTTTAGTAGAGACAAGGTTTCACCATGTTGGTCAGGCTGGTCTCGAACTCCTGACCTCATGATCTGCCCACCTTGGCCTCCCAAAGTGCTGGGATTACAGGCGTCAGCCACCATGCCCGGCCTGGTTAAGCGTTTTTATGTAGGTCATCCTGTTATCATTGTCACCATCAATAAGAAGAAAACAAAGGTGTTCAATCTGTGATTTTATGAACTATTGCTCCTACTACATTTTAAAAATGTCATTGAATTCTCAGTCTCTTAACCTGTATATTTCCTCAGAATTTCTCAGTGTTCTTCTGGCTTTTCTTTCCTTCCCTACTCAAGCTTCATCCAGCTCTATTTTTGTCAGTAAGTCAACTACTGTAGCTCATTATTGGACCTTCTCATGTGTTTTGTCAAATCTCATCCTGAGTCAATCCAATCATTTGATTCTATGCTTGTATAACAACATTAACCAAAGTTATTTAAGATACAAAAAAAATCACAGGGCCGAATGTGGTGGCTCATGCCTGTAATCCTAGCACTTTGGGAGGCCAAGGAGGGCAGATCACCTGAGGTCGGGAGTTCGAGACCAGCCTGACCAATGTGGAGAAACCCTGACTCTACTAAAAATACAAATTAGCTGGGTGTGGTGGTGGATGCCTGTAATCCCAGCTACTCAGGAGGCTGAGGCAGGAGAATCGCTTGCACCCAGGAGGCGGAGGTTGCGGTAAGCCAAGATTGAGCCATTGCACTCTAGCCTGGGCAACAAAGTGAGACTCCATTTAAAAAAAAAAAAAATCACAGCAGCAGCACACGTTTTATGCCATGGCACACACTGATCTTCAAAATCAACTGTACTCTAAAAGCAAATTGCAAACCAATTCTTTGCATCACCTCCTTTTTCCAAGAGTGACTCATAGGGTTCCAAGAGTGACTCATTGTCACTACCACACTCCTCTCAAAAGATACTGATAGTTTCAGCTTCTCTGAGCTATTCACAGCCAGTCCCTACACATCTAATCTCATCCATTCTTACAATTAAAAATAGATTTAGAAATTCATTAATTCTATCCACTATTTTTTACTATTTTTGAAAAATATGTATTTATCCTATTTTATATTAACAATTCATTAAAGAAGTGTCTATATTTGATCTAGCCACTCTGCAGTTTTTGTTTTCTCATTTTGAAATGGACCTGCCCCGTAGATAACCCATCCAATCTGCAGTGGGTGCTGTAGTGCGCTGCCCCCATTTCCCTTCTGAAACCAAAGAGCCCATTATTCCTGCTTCCAGGATTATTGCCTGCTGCCTCCTCGCAGCTAACCACCTTTTTGGGAAATAGCTTTCTGACTATTCAAAGGAACTGCCTCTCCCAATATTAAGCCCCTTTGCTGGAAGCAGCCTATGTCTACTTGAATAGTTGATGCATCTATTTGTCCTTCTGACCTCCTTGCCTCATTTTGAGACAAGAGTGAAGATCCATGCCAGCTCTAGCACTCCTTGTGGTTTTAACTGAGACCTTTGTTGTTATGTTAAGTGACTCTGACCATGTACTGGGAGTGAATATGAGGTTGTTGTGTAAACTGTTTCACAAATTGCCACCCAGATCTCCTCTTTCCACACTCCACTGACAATGAAAGAGGTGATCATTTCCCAGCTTCTAGAAGTGTTGCTTGCTCATAGCAGGAAACCGAGTCCCTCTCCAGGATGGCCTCCAGCTGAACATTATGCCTTCTCTCTGGCATCATCAGTCCACCTCCAACTGGATAGGTACAAAGGCCAAATCCTCCCATTCAGAAAATGCTGAAGGGTCATCTTATCTCTAAAGCTTTAATAGGCTCTGAAATTTTATTCTCCTTGATTTGCTTTCTTCACGACTTCACATAATCCACAACTTTCTAAGACATCTCTCCATCTCAGAGCCTATTTTTTGGAAAAACCAGCTAATAAAAACCCATATTCAGTCAGCCGCTACTCACCTACTAAAGTCTTTCTTGTTCAGTGGCTCTGCATTGATACTGTAGTTGACAATCACACTCTTTAACACGGCTTACAAGGCTGTAAACTATATGAACTCCAAGTAAATCTCCACAGTGCCCATAGTGCACTCCATTCTCTGGCCATACTAAAATGCCTACATTTCTTTGAGCATAACACTAAAAGACCTGATCTGCTGGGGGTGGTGGCTCTTGCCTATAATCCCAGCACTTTGGAAGGCCGAGTTGAGGGGGTCATGAGGCCAAGAGATCAAGACCATCCTGGTGATCAAGGTGATCCTGTAATCCCAGCACTTTGGAAGGCCGAGTTGAGGGGATCATGAGGCCAAGAGATCAAGACCATCCTGGTGATCAAGGATGATCAAGGATGTTCACCAGGATCAAGACCACCAAGATCAAGACCAACATGGAGAAACCTCATCTCTACTAAAATACAAAAATTAGCTGGGCATGGTGGCGCATGCCTGTAGTCCCAGCTACTCGGGAGGCTAAGGCAGGAAAATCTCTTGAACCTGGAAGGAGGTGGTTGCAGTGAGCTGAGATCGCACCACTGCACTCCAACCTGGTGACAGAGCGGGACTCTGTCTCAAAGAAACCCAAAAAAGACCTGATTAGTTACTCTTCTGATATTCTCCCTTAGCACTCTCTGCAGTTCAAATCATAGACCTCCTCACACTCTATTCAAGTTATGAATTTTTGTTTAATCTCTCTCACTGGGTGCATGGTGTACATCAAATGTCATTCACTGTTGTCAATACTACGTTATTAACACACTGCTTTAAATATCAAAGAAGATCAACAAATATTAATTGAATGAATTTTATAGGGATGAATAATTAAGGTATGCATATGTATATTTATAACTGGTGGATTTTCTTCCATGTTAATTTATGTCAGAAGCACATACAAAGCAGGTATCATGTCTTGTCATTGTGCTAAGACTTGGGATTACAAAGATAAATAAATTTTTTTTATGCCTCAAGTAGGTTTTAATTTAAGGTGTAACAGTGTATTAATGCTTTGGATTCTGTTCAATGCATTAAGTAATATAAAGATGCAGGCATGCACATGGTAAATAGTAGTAATTGAGAGACAAGTGGCATGAAAATTATTTAGAAGAGTAATTCTATGTCAGCATGGACGTTATGGTACTAGGAAGGAAAAAAGCCTAGTTTAAAGGCTCATTGCTGTAATCCAGACCAGAAAAGACAATAGTTGCAATAAAGCAATAATTATGGAGATGAAGAGAATTGGGTGGATAAGACAGAAAAAAAAATATCCACATAGATCAGAGAGGTAATACTTGGAAAGTGAATGGGCACATGTTGTAAAGAAAGATGGGGAGCAAAGTTGAGTTACAGTCCTCAGCTTTAGAAAAGTAACTGTAATTTGTGCTATTACTTCCCACAAGGAAGATTTTTTAGAAGAAATAGGTCTTTGAGTGAAGTATGAATTCTGTTTTAAGTTAATTTTGAGGTGCCTACATGTTATTCAATTGATGATAAATTATAGCTAGATTTCATATTGCCCTCCATTCATGAAGCACTTATTGATCTGTTGTATGGTAGTCACTATTCTAGAAAATGGGAAAAAGCGATAAATCTGCACACTTCCTGCTTTCAAAATATATTCAGTGGAGACAGAAACATAAAAACACTAACATTACACATTGGGTTAAATGAACTGTTAGAGATATATTTTACAATAAAAGATCTCTGTGCCAAGTCGGCCTGCACATGGGGAAGAAGGAAGTAAAAGTCCAGGAAGATGGTAAAGAAGAATTAGCATCCAAACAGAAACCTGAGGGATGAATGATAGGCAAAATAATAATGTCTAAAGCAACTTGAATCGATGTTAAAGAAACTATTTCTCAATAAATATTATTTGATCATTTCTAAGATTAGGCATTTCCAAGATAGAGAAAAATATATATATATTTATTATTTGAAAATATAACTTTTGGGGTAAAAATAATATTTTTAATACAGAGTTTACATAAAATACTTTTTGAATTCACTGAATTATTACATCTAAGAAGAGTAAACTATAAATAATTCAAGAAATAATATGGAGTATTCATATTGTATCTAGATAAGAATAGATTTTTTCATTATATAACTAATTCACCAAACCACAGAAAAAGGACAATGAACATATTTGACTATTTAAAAAATAAAAATAAACTTCTGCACATAAAATAATAAGTAAATAAAGGTAATAATATTATAGTCTATATTTTAAGCTTCATAATGTGAAAATATTCATGACAAAATATCAAGTGTCCTATCATATTTTACATGTGTGCTCCAAGAAAAGACAATCTAAAAATTAATAAATAAAAGATGAATCATAGGCATACAAAATATTCAGCCTCACTAACATTTATTAGAATAAAAATACATTTATGGAGAAACTTATAAAGAGTCTGCTACATTTTAGTTATTTGGGTAAATATTCAAATGTCAATAGCAAACAAGATCAACATTCTCTGTTTAGATATTATTCCAATCTATTGGGAAACCAACAAAAAAGTAAATAGACGTAAAGAACCTGTATAGCACAGATCCATATATTGATACAATTATACTTAGCCCCACTGTGATATCATTATACTTAGACTCACTGTTTGTTCATGCTAGAAGATATTTTCTACCAACACTGTGATATTTCTCTAAAGATATTATGGGGAATAACTAAAGGATCATAGAAATGGCAAATCTTGAAATTTACATTGTATAAGAAAGTGAACCAGAAGGAGAAGAGAAAGGAAATTGAACCATCAGGAATGGGTTTACTATACTGGTTTGGATGTTTTGGTGACTAGTGCTTAGGTTGAAATTAAGAAATAGAATTGGAGGTGTGAAAACAGAAGGTTTTATTCAGAGTGTAAAAATATTAGAATTGAAAATATTTCTTATGTAGTAGTTCTCTGCAATGTGATAGTACCTTGTTTGGCCACAGGTCTGAAAGAAACACAAAGTCAGATGGAAATGAAGGTGGTGAAAAATAATTTATTTTATTTTAATTAAATGTGAACAAAAACAACAAATATTCCTTGTTAAATATATCTTATCTTAGCTTAGCTGATTTAAAATCTTTCTTCTCAAGCTGTTTCTAAATTTAACTTTATCCAGAGTTAAATCGGAAGATCCGATTCTTGTTTTTTTCTCTTCTTTTAGTAAGTTTAATAGATACGTTACTTTGAAAAATAAGTTGTAAAACAAATTACAAACTGTAGATTAGAAAACTAAAAAAAATTTAAGTGAAAATAGAATCCATTCGCTAGTTGAGCAGTCATGCCTCATTAACTAAATCTAAATTGTATTCTTGCATTTATCGACTATGAAGTGATCTTATCTCTACAAAAGATAATACTTCTATTTAATTGATTGTAGGAAAAGAAGGAAAAGTGATAGCATTTTAAAAAAGACATTACCTTGTCTAAAACTATTGCTTTGCTACTTTAATTATAATTAAAGAATGACTTATTTAAGGGTCTTAAAGTCTTTTTTAAAGTAGGAAATATATAATTTTTTAAAATGAAAATTCTTCCTTTACAGTGGTTTAAAAGTTGTCCTCACAAAATAACTTCATTAAGTATTTTAAAATTTGAATTGCACCAGAAATTATTTTTACGAAAATGTTTGAATAAATAAACACATTTTTTTTCAAGGGCATGGTTATCAGATGAAGGAAACTGTAAGCAGGGGTACACAACCCCCTGGCCACGGACTGGTACCGGTTGGTGGCCTGTGAGGAACCTGGCCACACAGCAGGAGGTGAGCTTCAGGCAAGCTAGCATTACGGCCTGGGCTCTGTCTCCTGTCAGATCAGCTGGGGCATTAGATTTTCCTAGAAGCGCAAACCCTACTGTGAACTGCACGTGCCAGGGTCCTAGGTTGCACATTCCTTATAAGAATCGAATGTCTGATAATCTGAGGTGAAACAGTTTCATCCCAAAATGATCACCCCTTCCTCCATCCATAGAAAAATTATCTTCCACAAAACCGGTCCCTGGTGCCAAAAAGGTTGCGGACTGCTGCTGTGAAGGACCTCTAGTTGTTTTCATATAATTGAAAGTAATATAATTAAAATGCTATTAATTTTTTTAAAATAAATGTTCTTATTGTTTATAACAAAAATATCCTTGAATGGCAGTACTTCTAAATTCAGCAAGCATCATATTCAATTTGAAATTTCATTGTGTAATATTTTAAAAATAGAAACATATATGTGAGAAAGGATGGATAGGAAAGCAATATAATGCAAGAAGTACCCCTAATCCAACTGTCCAACTTAGAATTGTGCAAAAACCATTTATTTTCAAAAAATGAGTTTAAAAAATATACAAGACATATTTTTGTGTTATTCCCCAATTTTTATCCTCTTGTTTTCCTTCACCTAATGTACACACACTGTTGGATTTGTTGACACATATTTGTTTTATTTTACATTATTAACAAAGTTCTTACCCGTATATGTATTACTTGATTTATTTGTTTGGGAGAATTACAAATGTGGTTGCATGTTCCACGCATTTTTCTTTGACTTTCTTTTGTTAAAATTGACATTACTTTTTGTTGTCTTATTTTATTTTATTGAGACTACGAGTTTTGAAATCTATTCTGGTCATTTAAGTTGTTTCAGAAAGATATTTTAAAGAACAATACTGCAAAAAAAACCTTTTTTTTTGATAAATGTTCCCTGGAGATAATATGACAGAATTTCACCAGGATATTTACAGTAATTATTGTATATTTCATGTAGTATTTTACAAATATAGGACCTTTATGAAATAATGCAAATTGCTTTCCAAAGTGGTTATACCAAATCCCCATTTCTTTCAGCATTAACTAAGAGTTATAATGGCTTCTCATCATCAATAGAACTTGTTTTTTCCAGATTACTAATTTTTGCTAGTCTGGTGTACAGTAAAAGGAGTAATTCAGTGTTAGTTTTATATTTGCCTAATTATTAACTATATTGAGCACCTGTTATATGTTTCTTGCCATTTGCATTTCTCATCAATTTTGTATTTATATATTATATACAATGAGATATATTACCCATTGTAGTTATTTTATATTACATATTATATATTACATCAATTGTGTGTATAAATATATACACATTATAATATACTATGTTAACCTTGATAATCTTGCTGAGGCAGTACTTATAAAGTTTCTCCACCATAAAGTTAATCTTTTCCCTCCTTCCCATACTGGACTCTTTGGAAAGAGAACACTGTATGCAGCCCATGCCTAAGAAAGGGGAAGTTATTTTCTATCTCCTTGAGGATGAAGGATATATATATATATGGATATATATATATATATATATGGATATATATATATATGGATATATATATATATGGATATATATGGATATATATATATATGGATATATATATATACACTCACACAATAATGGATGTACTTACATCCATTATTTGAAGTTTTTCTGCATGGGACATTAGTTACCCATCCATACTTAATTATTTTTCCTCCTTTTATATCAGTATAGACTCATATATATTTCTTTATTATTAGAATATTATCCACTACTATTTCATTTCTTTGCTTGCTTAATCTGTTCCAGCTCAGGTCATTGGGGGGCCTTTGATTGATTCCTGTGTTCTTTTGACATACCTCTTTATTGTACATGGTGTGTGTCTCTTAATGTGTTACTTATCATATAAAATATCTTATTCAAAACACCTTCTTCAGCTTTTCCACTTAAACTTTTTAAAAAAAAATGTAAAATTACATTGTAATTTCAAAGATTATCTTTTCGAGTGCTACAAATATTGAGATTGGAATTGCATTGAAATCTGAAGATCAATTTGGGGAGATTTGACATGTATATTATAATGTACCAATTATCTATAAATACATGTGTTTATTTAGGACTTTGTGTTGTCTTACAATAAAATTTTATATCTTCACAAATGGCACATTCATTTTTTTGCTAGTTGCATTCCTAGGTGGCTAATATTTTTATAGAAATTACAAGCACTTTATATTTTAAATCTTATTTTATGTCTGTTGCTGATGTATGTCAAGGAACACTGGTAAAGGAGATTAACTGCAGGCACAATGGTGTTAGGAGCTCTGTTGACTGCTCCGTAGTGAAACTGGCAAAAATTATAAATAAATAAATATAAACAGCTATTTAAAGTCTCTAGAAATCATGCTAAGAGAAAACAGCGAATGAAGAAACATATATAAGACAAAGAAAATGACTGAGGCAAGTCTCAATCAATTTAGAGGTTTATTCTGCCAAAGTTGAGGACACGTCCAGGAAAAAGGAACAACAAATCACAGGAACATTTGTGATTCATCCTTTCTCCAAAGAGGATTTTAGGACTTCAACACTGAAAGGGAAAAGAGTGGGAAATAGGGAAAGAGGAAAGTAAAGAAAGAAGGACAAAAAAGGCAAAGAGTTCCATTCTTTTGGGACTTTGATGAGTGCTTAGTGAATTCACAGCTTCCATGTGAAAGGAGGGCAGTACAACAGTCAATTATGCATTTGTCTCACACTCAGTGAATCTAAATTTTTATATAAGATGAAGTATACACAGAGTAGAGGAAGCAGTCAAATAGGCATCTGTCTTAGGTGAGTGGAGGATTGACATCTAGTCCCATCTTTGTCCTGTACCTGGAAAAATAAGCTGTTAATTTACAGTCAGGGTGAAAGTCAACAGAACTCTGTTTTGTGGTAAAAATCTTAGGGCCCACAAGGAATTTCCTTTTTAGCAGGTTGTGAGGGAGGCTATCTGGGGAGATACGTGGCCTTTTTATTTTTGTATCTATCTATTTAGGAACAAAATAGAAGGCAGTTTTTTTATATTTCTGTTCCCAAGCTTAACTTTTCCCATTGGCCTAGTGAGTTTGGGGTCCTGAGATTTTTTATATTCCTTTTACACATCTAATCAAGGAAATCTATAAAGATTCAGTAAAAAGTAGAGTCTGTGGTATTTGACCCGAGTCTTCTCCCTGTCTCCTGTCTCCTAGCTCATTGATTTGCATACTCTACTTAACAGAGCTGCAGTCAGGAATACAGGGCTTCCTTTCCCACCAGAAATCAGTTAGAGGGATTTCTTCTCCGAGGACCAAAACATCAGAATTTCTCATCCTGCCACACCTACTTTTTGCTGGGGCTAAGTTCTGGGCAAGCATAGTTGACAGGTAGGGGAGGTCTCTTACGCCACCTCGTTCTACTAGTGGATCAGAGGTTTCACCTTGAGTACAGTCAGCTAAGAAAACTGGGCCCTCATCACCCTTTCCCTGGCTCAAAGGCAGTGATTCCACATCAAGAGAGGCAAACTGAGAGGTCCTCAGGATGTTGCCCCACTCTCCACCCAGTGCTTAGCTTCTAGAGCAGGAGTTTCTCTCTGTCCTCAAAGAAAACCTTGATATTGTGCACAGCCACACGTCCAGAGTGCTTGTTCAGAGATTTTTGTCTGGGGAGAGAAGCAGATCATAAAGCACATACCTCCTAATCTCTTTCCAAAAGTCTGAATTCATTTGAAGCAGAGGGTAGAGAAACTCAAGCCTAAGGGTTGTCTGAAGAACAGTGGAAGTTGTAGTGAGGGAGAGTTGAGAGCAGGTTCAAGATACAAGCTAATCTGTAAGTAATATACTCTGCAGGACAGAACTGGGGAACAAGGCTGCTCCGATAACCCCTACTGGGGTCAAAACAAGTATCTAACACTGACCTTGGAAACCATTTTCAAAAGAATTCTAATTTGACTGGATTGGTTGTAGAAGAATGTATGCTCTAAGGCATTGTTGAAAACACTTGTTGAATTAATGGGCAATTAGTAGAGTGTGACAGCTTTGTATAGTCAAGGAAAGAGAGGAAGAGAATTAACCCAAACAATTGCCATCCCAGGATGACTGTAGGCAGATGCAAAGCTGCACCTCCCTTAGATTTAATATCACGAGTTTTAACCTGTGGAAGAAAAGGTCAAGTTTATGCAAATAATCTAGCCCATCACAGAACAAATAAAAAAGTGAAAACATTCAAAGATCCTGGGGGGGTGGGGGCAAAATAAATAATACCCAGACATTCTACAATATACTGTTTAAAATGTCCAGTTTTCAACAAAAAATTCTGATAAAAAACAAGAAAATATAACCCCAAAACTAAGAAAAAAGGCAACAGAAATTGTCTTTGAGGTTGACCACGTATCAGATATATCAGAAAAATTATTCAAGAGAATCATTATAAACATGTTCACAGAACCAAAGGAAACCATTATTAAGGAAGTAAGGCAAGGTATAATGACACTCTTGTATCAAATACAGATTGTTAATAAGTAGACAAATTATAAAAGAAGAACCTGATGAAAATCCTGGATTTAAAAAATATAGTAGACCAGGTGCTCAGGCCTATAATCCCAGCACTTTGAGAGGCTGAGACAGGTGTATTGCTTGAGCCCAGGAGTTCAAGACCAGCCTCAGCAACACAGCGAGATCCTATTTCTACAAAAACTGACAAAATTACCAGGTGAGGAGGTACATGCCTGTAGTCCCAGATACTTTGGAGGCTGAGGTGGAAAGATCTCTTGAGCCCAAGAGGTCAAGGCTGCAGTGAGCTGTGATTGTATTACTGCACTCTAGCCTGTGTGACAGAGCAAGACTCTGACTCAAAAAAAAAAAAAAAAAATTCGATAACTAAAAAGTTTAAACTTCATTAGATGGCCTCAAGAATATATTTACACTGGCAGGAGAAAGTCTATGCAGACTTGAAGACTGACCAACAGAGATTTGTAAGCCAAAAAGCAGAAAGAAAAAGGAATAAAGAAAAATAATGTGAGCCTTGGAGAAATGAGGGTCACTATTAAGCACACTAATGCATACATGCATAACGAAAACAACAAAATGAGAGAAGAAAGTCAAAGGAGTGGAAAAGATATTCAAATAAATAATGTGTGAAAACTTCCCTCATTTATCGACAAACAAATTGCACATCCAGTGTGGGCACCAAGGCCTTTGTCCCTGTAAAGCTTCGCTGAGAAATCACTGACATGAGGCAGAGAAACTAGCAGGAGAAAAAGCACATCGATTTGTTTAACGTGTTTACACAGGAGCCTTACGAATGAAGAAGCAACTTCTCGATGAGTTATATAAACTTACATACAATCTTGAGGTTATAGAAAGATTGAAGCCTTGGATCCTGGTAAGACAAGTCATGGAAGCTGGAGAAAAGGAATTCTACTGTGGAACAATAAATGATCACTAGGAACAATTATTAGACTGGGAAACAGAAGTTAATTGTAAATTGCTCTCTGGAATTTAAACGAAGCTTGGAAACAATCAATCTCTTGAAGAAAGACTTGAACAGTTGTGGTTACATTCTTGGTCTTCTTTCCTATAACAGATAATAAGATTACAGGGAATGGAAGGAAAATTGTTCTCTTTGGTGGGTTAGTACTATTTTTATGTACACAAAGGAAAAATTTCTTCTGGTGCTTGTTGTTGTCCAAGGATTTTTAATTCAAAATATTTACTATATAAATGAGCCATATTTTGGGGTGTAATATTTTGATTTCCTTCACTAGGAAGCCGAACAAACCCCAGGCAGGAGAAACACAAAGAGATTTACAAATAAACACATCATAGTAATAGTGCTGAATATCAAAGACATGGACAATTATGAAAGGAGCAAGACAAAAATGATGCATTGCTTAGAGAAGAAGCTCACTAAGATTAACTGTTGTGTCCTGAGTGTAAACATTAAAGGACAGAAGGCAGTGGGGTAATATATTCTAAGTGCTCTAAGGAAAAAACAGCCAACAATTCTAAGTCCAGCGAATCTTTAAAAAATGGAGGTAAAAAAGACTTTCCTACATAAACGTAAAAGGAAATAATTTTCTGTTAGTATATTTGCCAAAGAATACTAAAAGTTTTTCTGGCTGAAAGCAAGTGATTCCACTGGTAATAAAAATTCACAGGAAAAAACAAAGTGCAACAATTCATCTAGCTGTAATCCCAGCACTTTGGGAGGCCGAGGCGGGTGGATCATGAGGTCAGGAGATCGAGACCATCCTGGCTAACAAGGTGAAACCCCGTCTCTACTAAAAATACAAAAAATTAGCCGGGGGCGGTGGCGGGCGCCTGTAGTCCCAGCTACTCGGGAGGCTGAGGCAGGAGAATGGCGTGAACCCGGGAAGCGGAGCTTGCAGTGAGCCGAGATTGCGCCACTGCAGTACGCAGTCCGGCCTGGGCGACAGAGCGAGACTCCGTCTCAAAAAACAAAAACAAAACAAAAAAAAAACAATTCATCTAGCTATGTTATTATACAAGAGAGTTTACAGGCATGCTTTTTCCTCTTTTCGTCCCTTTACAGATTTATAAAAAGCAAATATATTATATATATATTTATTTATATAATATATATAAAAAGCAAATATATAATAAAATATATGTATTAAATAATATGTATATAATGTATTGTTGATACTATAACATATAGAAAAGTTACATGTGTAATATATTTAGCAATAATAACACAGAGAAGATAGATGAGGAAATGCTATATTAGGCAAAGGAAATGGCTGCATGTGGTAAAATAATATAACAACCTATTACTGGAATTGTAACATTAATAGATGTAATATGTATAAAATGATGCAACACAATAGGGGAAAATGAATAAAGCTCTATAGGAGTAACATCTCTATATATCACTGGATCTAGGTTAGTATACATCCAAAGTTGATTCTGATCAGTTACAATATATGTTGTAAATTCTAGAGGAATGACCAAAACAAAACAAAAAAATTAACACAAAAATGTTTAATGACAAAATCACTGAAGAAATTAAAATGCTATATCAAAAACTATTCACTGCGAAAAAAGCAGAAGAGGAATATAGAAACAAAAAATACGTGAGACATATAGAAACAGAATTAAAATTTTTTAGTTAATATAGTTGAAGATGTTGTCAACTATGTCAATAGTAACATAAAATGTGAATGGGTTAAGCAATCTTATCATGAGGCAGAGATTGTCAGCCTAGATTTAAAAATATGATATAATTATATATTCTTTACATGGAATACAATTTGGATTCAAAAATACAAATAGATTGAAAATCAAGGGACGGAAACGTATATATCATGCAAATAGTAAACACAAGAAAGCTAGAGTGACTATAGTAATATTAGACAAAATAGACCTTAAAAAACGTTACCAGAGACAATGAGAGAAGATAGATATTTTATAATAATAAAAAGGTCAATTCATCAAGAATGTATACTTATAGTCACCTGTACATCTAATAACCTAGCACTAAAATACATTACACAAAACTTACAGAAAATAAAGGAGAAATAGAAAATTCAATAGTAATACTAGAAACCTGCAATACTAAACATTTAATAATGGATACAACCACTAGACAGGAGATTAAAAAATAGAAGACTTCAAAAATTACATAGAACTAACAAATATCTAAAGTACTCTCAATCCAACAACAACAGAATATACATTCATTTCAGGTGCTCATGGAACTTTCTCTAGGATATCTTCTAGGCTGTAAGACAAACTTCAACACATTTAAAAGGATAGAGATAAATGTATACTTTCTGACCATATGGAATGACATTAGAATCAGTAGCAGGAAAAATTTAGGGAACTCACAACTATTTAAAATTAAATAACATACTACTTAATAACCAATTGGTCAAATAAAAAAATCAAAGGGAAATTAGAAAATACTTTGAAATTAATGAAAATGTAGACATAACATTTTAAAACTTTTGAATGAAGCTACAACAGTAGTTAGAGAAAAAAATTATAGCTCCAAAATATCTATATTAAGAAAAAGAAATACCTCAAATGAATAACTTAAACTTCTACCTTACAATTCTGGAAAAAGAAGAGCAAACTTAACTTACAGTGAGCTGAAAAAATAATAAAGATTAGAACAGAAACTAATGAAGAAAATAGAAAAACAATAGGGAAAATTAATAAAACTGAAAGCTGATTCATTGGAGAAGCTAACAAAATTGAAAAACCTTTAGATAGTCGGATCAAAGGAGAAAAATAAATGAAGATTCAATTTTTGGAATCTTAAAGGAAAGAGAGGACATTTACTACTGATCTTATTGAATAAAAAAGATAAAGGAATATTATAAACAACTATACACAGACAAATTAGATAACTTAGATGAAATTGGCAAACTCTTAGAAAGATACAAACTAGTAAAACCAACTAAGAAGAGCTACAGAATCTGAGTAAATCTGTAAGTGAAAAGATTAACAAGGTAACAAAAAACCTACCCATAAAATAAGCCCAGGTACAAATGGCTTTACTGTTTAATTCTATCAAATATTTAAAGAATTAATGCCAATTATTCACAAACTATTCCAAAAACTGAAAAAGGAAGAGACACTTTCCAACTTAAGAAGCCAGTATTACTCTGATATTCAAACTTATGAGGCCAGTATTACTGTGATACCCAAACTTAGGAGGCCAGTATTACTGTGATACCCAAACTTATGAAGCCAGTATTACCCTGCTATGAAAACTAGACAAAGACATCATAAAGAAGTAAAACCTCGAAACAGTATCTGTTATGAGTGTGGACGCAAAAATCTTCAACAAAATACTAGCAAATCAAACTCAGCAACATATAGAGAGATTCATATGCCATGGTCAATGAGATATGAAAAGAATTCTAGGCTGGCTTATTCAAACATCAATCAATGTAGTACACTATATCAACAGAATAAAAAACAAAAATTTCATAATAATCTCAACAGTTTCAGAAAAAGCATTTGACAAAACTCAATGCATTTTTATTATAAAAAGCACACAGCAACCTATGAATAGAGGAGAACATTTTCAACCTAACAAAGATCACTTATGAAAAACCTATGGCTAACATTATACTTAGTGATGAACACCTGGATGCCTACTCACTAAGACTGGGAACACAAAAAGGATGTCACTAACACCGATCCCATTTAACATTATGCTAGAGGGTCTATCCAGAGGAATTAGACAAGAGAAAGAATAATAAAAGTCACCTATAATAGAGAGGAAGGAGTAATTCTATCTCTATTCACAGTTTATACAATCTTGTTGATCCTAAGGATTCCACTAAAAAACTATTGGAACAAATAAGTGAGTTCAGCAAAGTTGTAGAATAAAAAATTAATATAAAACATCAATTGTATTTCTATATACTTTCAACTCAACTGAAAAAAGTCTTAAAGAAAACAAAATTGTTAGGAATAAATTTAATTAAAAATGCAAAATTTATTCTCTGAAAACTATAAAACATTGCTGAAAAAACCTAAGTATTTAGGAAAAATTTCCATGTTAATGTATCAGATACTTAATGCTGTTAACAAGGCAATATTCCTCAAACTGATCTATAGATTCAACAAAATCCCCCTCAAATCCCAGATGACTTTTGTACAGAAAACTACAAGCTGATTTTAAAATTTATATACAACTGCAAGGGAACTAACATAACCAAAATTATCTTAAAAAGAAGAGCAAAATAGAAGACTCACTCTTCCTGATTTCAAAACTTACTACAGTGCTGTGGTGCTCACGACATTTTGGTACCGGCACAAAGATAGACATATAAATCAATAAAATAGAGTTGACGGTGCAGAAATAAACCCACACATTTATCATCAACATACTTAGTAAGAGCGGCAAGACCATTCAACAGGGGAATAAAAAAGAATAGTCTTCTTCAACAAATGGTGCTGGGACCATTAGAAATCCACAGGCGAAAGAATGCGTTTAGATCCTTACTTTGAACTCTATCACACTGCATTCTGCCTGTTACTTAAGGTTTTCATTTTTTTATTCTTTTTTTAAAATGTTATGACTGCTTTTATTATTGACTTTTTTTAAAAAAAAGTATGATATGTATGTAAAAAATGTGTTTCCTGTAATTGCTGAATGTAGGAATCCTTATATTAATATTTCCATCAAACACATCTTGTCAATTACGCTCTTTGAATCTATGTGGTATTTGTCACTGTTTTCGTGTATGTGCTCACGTGTATGACCAATGGATTAATTATGTGTGAAAGTCATTTTCAAATATCTCACTATATTGATGTATTTCTTAATGTCTCCATGTATTTCTGTCAATTTATATATGCTGAACATATATTGTTAAGTGCATAAAAGAACGGCTACCCAAACTTTCATTTGATTGGCATTTGCTTGATATATTTTGTTTATACTTTAACCCATTTATGCCCGAGGTTGCAATTTTTTGAATTTTTGCCATCAGACCTTGGCGATGACTTTAAGCAGTAGGATATAAATAACTCCTACATACTTAGCGTTCCATTAATGGAACACTAGCCTCACCCCTTTTTATCTATTTTGAGTTATTTTTCTGTGAAGAGCATATAGCTGATTGTCTTTGAACTGTCAGTGTTAACCTAGTAAATTTAGAAGTCTGTCTATATTCCTTTATTTTATTAGTATTATATTTAAACTTTTTTGCATACTCTAATTGTTTACTTTTCTTTTGTCATGTATTTCTCATAGTTCTTTTCTCTTTGCACACTTTCTTTTAAATTGAGTCGGTTTTCTCTTTTTATTCTTTTATATTCACTGCCTTAAAACTATGTATTCTGTTTTCATTCTATAGTTCTTACATTTTTTATATCACTGTGCCTCCTTCCAGTCAGGGATTCAGGGCCTGAAACAGAAACCATTCAAAGTATATTAAGGAGAGAAGATATTTAGTAGAAGAACTTGGTGCTTATAAAATTATTGGAAGAATATTCTTTAGAGTCTGCCACTCGAACTATTGTTAAAATCATTCATGCCATAGTGTGGTTTCTCTCCAAGTATCAGGAAGGCATTGCAGAACACTGTCACCACCAGAGCCACCACCACCATCACTGCAACAACCACCACCACGCCACCACCCCCATCACCACCACCACCATTACCATGACCACCATTACCACCACCACCAACAGCACCACTGCCACCACCACTGCCACCACCACCACCCCCATCACCACCAACACCACCACCGTCACCACCACTGCCACCACCACCACCACCATCACCACCACCGCCATCACCACCATCACTACCACTACCACCACCATCACCATCACCACCATCACCACCACCACCACTACCACCACCACCATCACCATCACCACCATCACCACTACCACCACCACCATCACCACCATCACTACCACCACCACCATCACCGTCACCACCGCCACCACCACCCCATCACCGCCACCGCCACCACCACTGCCACCACCACCATCACCATCACCACCATCACCACCACCACCATCACTGCCACCGCCACCACCGCCAACACCATCACCATCACCACCACCACCGCCACCATCACCACTGCCACAACCATCACCACCACCACCGTGCCGCCACCACACCACCACCATCACCACCACCACAACCACCATTGCCACTATCACCGCCACTGCCACCACCACTACCGCTGCCACCACCTTCACCGTGCCGCCACCGCCACCACCACCATCGCCACCATCACCACCACCACTACAACCATCACCACCACCACCATCACCGCCGCTGCCACCGCCACCACCACCACCACCATCGCCACCATCCTCACCACCGCTACCACCACTGCCATTGCCACCAACACAATCACTGCCACCACCACCACCATTGCCACCATCGCCACCATCACCACCACTGCTGCCACCATTGCTACCACCACCACCATTGCCACCATCACCACCATCACCCACACCACCATCACCACCACCACCGTCACCACCACCACCGCCGTCGCCACCACCACCACCACAAGCACCACTACAATTGTCTCCACGCATAAATATATGTATGTATATGGAATAGTAAATCTAACCACTTGCCAGCAAATATAGAAAAAAAAGCAGCAGGAATTTGGCATTTCTGTCATCCCATGCTCTAGTTTGGGCATGTTAGTGATAAAACCCAATTTGTATCAATATCTCTATTTGCAAAGAATACATCCATTTTTAGATTTTTAGCCTTTATCCAATGGGCTATTCACTAGAAACAAATTGGAAAGGAGGTAGAGTGCAAAATAATCATGTCCATTGTAGCCCTCAGTATCCACATCATCCTGTAACTCAATCTAAAAACAAGTACAGCAACATCATCCTTAACAGGTTGTAAATCTTGCTCACACAAAAGAAAACATGCTCACTCTTTTTCCAAAAAGCGAGGCTAAAGCCTCATCAGTTGCTCTGCTTGTCCTATTCTACCTCTGTCACATTACATTCTAAACTTCAAATACTGATGGGCTGTCTGTCTCATGGGGACTCGGTATTCCATGATCAGGGGTTAACTTTCTGCCCGTAACCAATAACATGCCAAAAGTAGATTCTCAATTTTCTGCCTTTGCCAAAGAGATCAGAGTTTTATTTGCACATTGCTTGTTTCATTAAGATTCTCCTGAAGAAGAAACTGCCATTTTTCCATCAGTGTGATAATTGCTTTTGGTTTACTAATTCTAGGGGATTGGCTGTTCTCGGGATTTAACTTAGCTCTTTCTACAGCATTATCTCTCACTCCATAGGTCACATAACTAAAAGAAGAATGTTTCCTGTGTCTGTATGTGTTGATGCCAACAGTTAATTCAAAATGGAAAAATAATCACAGTATGCATTTAGGGACACTCTGAGCTCATGAGAATGGATTCAAGTCAAAATTCCTGTTTATCATCTGAGTCCCCCATTATGATAGTAAACCAGAAAGTCATTTTAATTCTGTAGTAATTATTACTATTTCAGAGCCAGTATTCAGTAATCCCCCAAAGTCTCGGTATTTCTCTTTCCTCACTGCATGGGTACATGGTTAAATTGTTTTCAGTCCCTTTGGGAAAGACTAGCAGCTGTATATAAAGCCCATAAATGTGGCCGTTCACAGATTCACAGCTTCCCCCTCATTGAGGAAGGAGTGGGGGTGTGAACTAGTTCCACTAAGGGAATGGGGTATAGGCTAAAACTCTCCAGTCTAAAATTTTAAATATTATGTTTAAAAATTAAATTTAAATCTTAAATTTCCTTAAGTCAAATATCCTTTTATGTCAGACAATTTAAAATTTGTGGTTTAATAGCAAGGATAAATTTATGTTGGCTTCTACAGATTCAAACTTTGAAACTCTACATTAAAATTAACACCACCATATAATTTTGGCCTTCCTGCCTATTACTATTAAACAAGTCTGTTCAATTATCTATCATTTAATTACTGCCACTTGTGACTCCAATATCCAGTCATCCTTGTTAATATTAGGAAACCCATTTATATAGCTGTTTCTTCACTTTTATTCTTGGCTTCAGAGAAAAGCCACTAATTACTTCACCTTTCAAGAATGTGGATATTACCTTAACCAATCAGTCCCCAATGGCTTGTTGAATGTTGTGTACTCTGAACCATGACTAACAATACAAATACAAATATAGGTCATGTGTGTTAAATATATTTTAATTTTTTATATGTCTAAGCCCTGCATTTTTTTCTCTGCATTCTATATAGGTAGCCTAGTATCTCAAGTTCATTTAGAGATAACCACCATTATATCCACATTTTATTCAACCAGTTTCTTAAACAGATAAAATACTTCTTTCCTTTTGGATGAGAATTCAGAATTTCTGGTAATTGATATTGATTATTTGATCCTGATATAAAAGTATTGCCTCTTCTTTATACCAGCACACTTACAATTTATTTTCACATATATTTCCAATAGTTTGCTCTATAAATGAAAAAACTTTTGCCTCTTTTGTTTTGTAACCTTCCCCTTTCCAATTCAAAAATTGTAATTGCCTCCGTGGATCATGCTGTGGTCTGATTATGAATATAGAAGGTATAAAGGGTGATATGGTTTGGCTGTGCCCCCACCCGAATCTCATCTTGAATTGTAGTTCCCATAACCCCCACATGTCATGGAAGGGATCTTCTGGAAGGTAATTAGATTATGGGGGCATTTCTCCCAGGCTGTTCTTGTGAAAATGAATTCTCATGAGATCTGATGGCTTCATAAGGGGCCTTTCCTGACTTTGCTCTGCACTTCTTCATCCTGCCGCCATTTGAAGAAGTATGTGTTTGCTTCCCCTTCTGCCATGACTGTAAGTTTCCTGAGGTCTCCCTAGTCCTGTGCAAATGTAAGTTAATTAAACCTCTTTCTTTTATAAATTACCCAGTCTCGGGTACGTACTAAGAGCAGTGCAAGAACAGACTAATGCAAAGGGCAATGCGAATTATTGTGTGTATGGAGGCAAAAAGCAAAATTAATGGGGAGGAAGGACAATAATTGTTTTTTTAGTACTACAATACCAAAGATTGGGGAAGAAGTCAAAGAAATTATATCTTTTTTATTTTTGAATATTAAGATAAAAATCATACAGCCGAATTCACTCTTTGTTTTTTGTTTGTTTGTTTGTTTTAGACGAAGTTTCACTCTTCTTGCCCAGGATGGAGTGCAGTGGCAGGATCTCGGCTCAATGTGACCTCTGCCTCCTAGATTCAAGCAATTCCCTGACTCAGCCTCCCAAGTAGCTGGGATTACAGGCATCCGCCATCATGCCCAGCTAATTTTTCATATTTTTAGTAGATAGGATTTCATCATGTTGGCCAGGCTGGTCTCGAACTCCTGACCTCAGGTGATCCACCGACCTCGGCCTCCCAAAGTGTTGGAATTACAGGTGTGAGCCACCGCACCCAGCCAGAATTCACTTTTTTTGACATAGAATTCTGTGACTCTTGACAAACATATACATTATGTAAACACCACCAAAATAAAGATATTTAGGCTGGGTGTGGTGGCTCATGCCTGTAATCCCAGCACTTTGGGATGCCGAGGTGGGTGGATCACCTGAGGTCAGGAGTTCGAGACTAGCCTGGCCAACATGGTGAAACCTTGTCTCTACTGAAAATACAAAAATTAGACAGGCGTGTTGGTGGGCGCCTGTAATCCCAGCTACTTGGGAGGTTGAGGCAGGGGAATCACTTGAACCCAGGAGAAGGAGGTTGCAGTGAGCTGAGATGGCGCCATTGCATTCCAGCCTGGGTGACAACACAACAACAACAACAACAACAACAACAAAAGATATTTAATATTTCCATTATATAATTCCCTCATGCCTGTTTAGAATCTTCTTGTTCCCTACAACCAGCCCCTGATAACAACTGATATAATTTTTGTTTCTATTGTTTTTCCTTTTCCAAAATATTATATGAATGAAATTATATGATATGTAGTCTTTGAGTCTGGCTTTCATTTAGCATGATGCATTTGTGATGCATTGCAATAATTCATATTATTGTATGTGTCTTTAGTTTGTTCTTCATTGCCAAGGACTTGTCCAGTGCATAATTATTCCACAGTTTGTTTATACAGTCCACAGATGAATGAAGGGCATTGGAATTGTTTTCAGTTTTTTTTTTTTTTTAATTGAGACTTAGTTTCGCTCTGTCGCTCAGGCTGGAGTGCAGTGGTGTAATCTCGGATCACTGCAACCTCCACCTCCCAGGTTTAAGTGATTCTCCTGCCTCAGCCTCCTGAGTAGCTGGGATTACAGGCACCCATCACTGTGCTTGGCTAATTTTTGTATTTTTAGTAGAGACAGGGTTTCACCATCTTGGCCAGGCTGGTCTCAAACTCCTGACCTCATGATCCACCTGCCTCGGCCTCGCAAAGTGCTGGGATTACAGGCGTGAGCCACCACACCAGGCCTGTTTTCAGTTTTGGGTAATCAGAAATAAAGTCTTTGTAAACATTCATGTACAAATTTTGTGTGAACCCAGGTTTTCATTTTTCTCAGATCAATACACAGGAGTGAGATTTTTGTGTAGTGTGGTAACTGTATATATGTCATATTTTATGAGAATTTGACAACTGATCAGTACAATAGCTACATCAATATAGCCACCACACCCAGCTAATTTTTTGTATTTTTAGTAGAGATGGGGTTTCACCATGTTGCCCAGGCTGGTCTCGAACTCCTGGCCTCAGGTGATCCACCCTCCTCGGCCTCCCAAAGTGCTGGGATTACAGGCATGAGCCACCACACCCGGCCAGAATTCACTCTTTTTGATATGTGTATTTCTAACAGAAATGTATGAGAGCACCAGTTGCTCTACATATTTGCCAGCAATTGATATTAACATTTTCTGGCCAATTCTAATAAGAATACAACAGTATCTCATGTGGTTTTAATTTGGATTTTCTTACTGACTTATGATGTTCAGCATCTTCCATTCATTTAAATTATTTACCATTTGCAATCTTCTTTGATAAAGTACTCAAAATATTTTGCCCATTTTTAATTGATTTGATTTTGTATTGTTGAGCTTTTAGTGTCCTTTATATTTTATGAATATAAGTCCCTTGTTACACACATGGTTTGCAAATATTTATCTCCGACTGTGTGTTGTCTTTCTATTCTGAATAATCCAGAAACCCTTAATCTACTGAGTACCAACTGTAAGAATCTATAACTACCCTACGTACAAAAAGCTAGAACTAGGCATTGGTATGAATAGAAGCTGATGAGAGAATTGAAAAGCAAAAGTGAAAGAGAATTGAGGTGGGAAGAATAATATGGAAAGAAACAAAAGAGGCACTTTTTTTTTTCACTTAAATGACCATCTGATATCAATTCTGTATGTATCCAAAGCAAATAAATGAGAAAAATGGAGACATTTGAACCATCTTCTGCAATCCATGTCTGTTTATGAGTGACTTACCATAATAATTGTCATTTTGTCGACAAACTGCCACTACATCTCTTTTAGATGCTATGATTAACATTGAGGCATTATAATTTAGACAGCTATTCTAATGGTTGTACAGTGCTGTGGCATTGGCTGACTCAAAGCAAACATTAGAGAGAAAGTGATCCAAGACACATAAAAATGTACAGAATAATTAAAAGTAGCAAGTATAAACTAACGAAAATATAAGAAATAATCTCAACAAAAACAGAGTCACATAGAGACAAATCTGGTTGCAACATTTGATATGCAGGAAATATGTGTAAGGCTTGGGAATATTTCGACCAGAAAGCTAGCACAAAGTTCTACTCTTTAAAATTACCAGATTTTTTTTTTTCTTTTTGAGACAAAGTCTCACTGTGTCACCCAGACTGGAGGGCAGTAGTACGATCAAGTGATTCTCCTGCCTCAGCCTCCCGAATAGCTGGGATAACAGTTGCCTGTCACCATGCCCAGCTAATTTTTGTATTTTCAGTAAAGACAGGGTTTCACCATGTTGGCCAGGCTGGTCTTGAACTCCTGACCTCAGGTGATCCACCCACCTCGGCCTCTCAAATTGCAGAGATTACAGGCGTGAGCCACAGTGCCCGGCCCAGATCTTTCTTTCTCTTTCTTCCTTCCTTTCTTTCTCTTTCTTTCTTTCTTTCTTTCTTTCTTTCTTTCTTTCTTTCTTTCTTTCTTTCTTTCTTTCTTTTTCTTTCTTTCCTTCCTTCCTTCCTTCCTTCTCTCTCTCTCTCTCTCTCTCTCTCTCTCTCTCTCTTTCCTTCTTTCTTTCTTTTTGAGTCAGAGTCTCACACTGTTGCCCAGGCTGGAGTGTAATGGCTTAATCTTGGCTCACTGCAACCTCTGCCTCCCGGGCTCAATTGATTCTCCTGCTTCAGCCCCCTGGCTAATTTTTTTAGTTTTTAGTAGAGACAGGGTTTCACTATATTGGCCAGGCTGGTCTCAAAGTTCTGACCTCGTGACCCACCTGCCTCAGCTTCCCAAAACGCTGGGATTACAGGCATGAGCTACTGCACCCAGCCCAGAATTTCTTATAGAAATTGTCTATGCAAGATATTGGTTCTAGAAATAATGATGACTTCTCTCTATTATTCAAACTTAACCACTAGTGATATTTGCATATTAGTCAAAAAGTTATTTTCTTTAATTAGAGCTCCCTTTTTGTTGTTTTATGTTCACTGAGTTTTGCACAGAAATAAATTTGTCTTCGATATTTAAAAAAAGAGGTAGTGAAATCAACTTGCATTAAATATTGAGCTCCACTGTGATGATTATGGCCACTTGCCACTTCAGAATTCACAAGTGCAGTGGCTGTGTGACTCAACGTCTGGCCATTGACACGTGCATAGATTTTTTTTTTAGTGAGAGTTTTGTTTTGTAGAAAGTGTTTTCTTTTGTTGTTGTTGTTGTTTTTTTATAAATGGGGAAAGAGTAGATAGCATTGCGCCCTTTTCTTTGTCATCCTGTCTTTCAAATAAATGCATTTTTTTAGAGCAGAAGCAGTTGTCTGTGAACAAAAAGTAACAAGCATGGGGAATAAAGCCATTACACTTTGAGAGAATACTGTGAGAGATAAAGGCTGGCATCTTTGATCTGTTGAATTGATGCAGGTTACATTTACTTCTAGACTTTGTGTTATGTGAGAAAAATAATACATGTGTTTTAAGCCACTGCAAGTTGGATTTTTTTGTTACTTGAATGAGAACACGGTTATAGCTGAACCGAAGTTGGCTTAGTAGGCCGGCATATGTAAATGTTTACTTATGTTTAAATGTTTAAAATAAAAGCCAAGTGTGAATTTGCCTGTTTGAATCAATATTCACTTTCTCTCAATAAGCAATAAACATGTATATGTTTGGCTGGGCATGGTGGCTCACGCCTATAATCCCAGTGCTTTGGGAGGCCGAGGTGGGCAGATCACAGGTCAGGAGATGGAGAACATCCTGGCCAAGATGATGAAAACCCACCTCTACTAAAAATACAAAAAAAAAAAAAAAAAAAAAAATTAGCTGGGTGTGGTGGCACACTCCTGCAGTCCTAGCTACTCAGGAGGCTGAGGCAGGGGAATCTCTTGAACCTGGGAGGCGGAGATTGCAGTGAGCCGAGATCACACCACTGCACTCCAGCCTGGCTACAGAGCGAGACCCTGTCTCAAAAAAAAAAAAAAAAAAAAGTACATGTTCAGTATTCCTATCTTTTATTATGGATACCCAGATACTAACACAGGATGCATCTATATGTAAGTTTCAAGAACTCTTCTGCAACATCTTTGGTGTTGTTTGGAGTTGCATTACTGCTTTGTATGTCAGTTATATATTTGTTACAGAGTTATCTATTTTCCTGTTTAATTTAGAAAAAAACATATAATAGAAAGAGGAAAATTTTAAAAAATAATAAAACTATATTTTTCATAAGATAAAAAACTTTATAGATTTTTGATACATGAATAAAAGACACACTGTGGAAAAATGTTTACATATGTCATTGACAGAGCATCATTTTAATAGAATGAGGCATTTGGGGATTGATATGGGTTGAATGTGTCCCCTAAAAGGATATGCTGAGGTCCTAAACCCCAGAACCCGTATAATGTGACCTTATTTGGAAAAGGGTGATTGCAGATATAATTAGTTAAGATGAAGTCACATTGGAGTACGGTGTACCCTCAATCCAATGTGACTGGTACCCTTATAAGAAGAGGAGAGGAGATACAGAGGTGAGAATGCCATGTGAAGACAAAGAGACACATAAAGGGAAGAAAGCCATGTGAATATAGGAGCACAGATTAAAGTTAAGCTGTTATAAGCCAAGAAATATCTGGGGCTATCGGAAGATGAACAAGGCAAAGAAGGATTTAACTCTAGAAGCACTGGAGGAAACATGGCACTGCCAACACCTTAATTTCAGACTCATAGACCCCAGAAGAACTTTCTATTGTTTTAAATTATCCCTTTGTACTATTTTGTTATAGCAGCTCTGGGAAACTAATCACAGAGACCTTGGGAGGGAGGGAGAATATTTTGCCTGTGAAAGGGATGCTAATCACTGGGAGTCCAGGGAGCTGACTTTGGTGAGCTGAGACTTTGAGATGACGCAATTACCTTCACCTCCTAATAGTCACACCTTTGTATCGTTCTCACCACTTGAATGGGACCTGAATATAGTGACTTGCCTCTAACAAATAAAATACTATGGGAGGTCACTTCTGAGGTTAGATTATAGAAGACTCCAGCTTCCATCTTGGGTTTTTATCTCTCTTATTCTTTTGCTCTCTCTTGGATTTCTCAGCCCAGGAGAAACCAGCTGACATACTGAGAGACAACCCTGTGGAAAGACATGACATGGGACTAAGGCTGCCAATGATCATTTACATGAATTTGGTATAGAACCTGCCCCTGACTCAAGCCCTCAGATGAGTCCACAGCCCTGAGAAACACTTGACTGCAAACTTTTGAAAAACCTTAACCCAGAGGTGCACAGGTAATCCACATCTAAGTTCTGGACCCACATTAATGCAGAGATAACAAATGGCTGTTGTCTTATACTACTAAATTTGGGGCTAATTTGTTACCTAGCAATAGATAACTAACACAGTCAATAACTAGAAACTAAGCTAAAAGATGATTTCTTTAATATAACAAAGGTACAGTTGGTGTATTTGGCTTCTCTTCCCCCATTGGTGAGAGAGGGATACCTGCCCTAAGATCATGGGGATGGCTGAACCTGTGCTCCTCAACACAGGAGAAATGTGATCAGCAGCAGTTTCTTAGGATATACACATACAGCCAAGGAGAGGAAGACATTACATGCCATGCAGGGTCACACAGAGATTGTTTTGGAAACAGAGTGGACAAGAAGCGGCAGGAGAAGGCAGATTTTGTAATGCTAAGAGGATGGGGTGCCCCCTGGTTCCTGCAGGAGGATGTGCTTGGCTTGTTTGAATAATTCCACAGTCTGAAAGAGAACTACATCCTGCCACTCAGGGATAGGAGGAGTGTTACCTGGTCCCCCTTGATAAAGAGGGTTGTTTGGCTAGGGAGACCTTATCCACAGGGCTAGAACGGTGAGGAGAACTTGTCAAGCCATTCATTTGAGTCTACTTGGTTTTACCAAACGTCAAGGCAACACACCATTCAGGGCTTACACCATAAGGTTCAGCTACATAATTTTCAGAGCCTACAGCAAAAGGAAAGTCTGGAGTTCCTTGTATAAAAAAACAGGAAAACAATGCCATTAAAGCACAGATTATCCTTTTCTCTGCAGCCTCTTTCTTGATTTATTGTAAGTTTTCTTGTTTGCTATTTAATGTTGTTTTAAGTAAAGAAAAATTTATACTTTAAATTATTAGAACACATTTTGCTGTTCATCTTTATATCATACAATGACAGTTTTAAGTGGAAATATGAGAGCATTTAACTTGTGTGCAGAGTAAGCAATGTTAAGCAATTTGTTTCTTGGGGCTTATCCAGGAAGATGCCTCTAGCAGGCCAGAAACAGAAAAATCACAGACCAGACTCAAAAAGGGTTGAAGAAGGAAGAAAGGCTCCTTCCAGGCAAGAAGCTGGCTGAAAGAGCACTCCAGGCATGGAGGTAATCTTGGAGTGCGGACCTTCCCAAGTACATGGGGCTACCACCCTGTCGTGTGGAATGTTCATTCCTGCCAGCCGCCAAACTCGCATTCCACACTCCAGCCTGGAAGGGGTCTGGGGAATTTGAGACAGAAACTTTCTCACAAGCTCACTGCCCCAACCCATGGCAGATAGATGACTCTCAAGATCTTTAAATCTTTGTGCTGGGTCATACTAGTTATCTGCATGGGGGTGGGAGAGAGGCTTATGCTCATAGAGATGCCACCTGTGGATGAATGCTCACCAGACACCCAATGATATTTGGGTGATGGGCCACCATTCCTTGCACTGAGATGCTATGAGCTGCAGGTACCCAACCCCACTGGACAGCAAGCAAGAAAAAGGGCTAGCAGGACCGCTGCACCAGGCAACAAGAGATGGGCTGCCGAGATCCCATGCTACAGTGACAACAGGAAAAGTGACTTTGGGTAAATAGGGGCTGCACACACCCAGCTCATCCACCATTATCCTACCAGAATTCATTGACAAAATACAAATTTAAATGTCAAGATGACCAGGGCAGAACATTAAACCCTAAGCAGAGGGCCCTGTAAAACTGCCCTGGCAGCTTACCATAAAGTTGGCCCTGACTAAATGTCAATGATGAAGGGTCCAATTAATAGCATTGCACAGCACACTGGAAGGCCCGTGAAAAAAATCTGTTAGCCAATTGAGCAAGGTGAGAGCTTCAGGAAAATCAAATAAGAAAGAAGAAGGTACAGTTAGGTAATAGGCTAAATATTAGTTCTGTAATATTTTTTGACCTTGGAAATTCTGGACTTTACCTATTGAACCAGCAAGGGTCACCAAAGGCCATTTCCACTAGTAGGGAAAATGCTGTCTACTTACCATGAAAATCTACATTGGTTGTTTGGTATGAGTCACAACCAGCTGGCTAGAGATCATTGCAACTGTATATGTGTCAGAAGGTCTTTTTGACTGATGGGAGAGTAGGATTCTGATTGCATAATACTATCTCATGGTAAATTTTTATAATTTTTTAAAATAATTTTCTTTCTTTTTTATTTTTTTCTTTTTTATTTGTTTATTTCATTTATTTATTTTTTTGCATGATTGCAACTCACTGCAGCCTCAACCTCTGGGGCTCAAGTGATCCTCCCACCTCAGCTTCCCAAGTAGCTTGGACTATATAGCTGCACACCAACACACCTAGTTCGTTTTTTTATTTTTTGTAAAGACAGGGTCTGACTATGTTGCTTAGGTTGGTCTTGAACTCCCAGGTTCATGCAATCCTCCCACCTGGGCCTCCCAGTGTGCTGGGATTACAGACATGAGCCACCATGTGCCTGACTTGCAGTAAATTTCAGTAATTTAGCCCTTGTTACAAATCTAAGTAACAGTGTGAGTGCAGGCCTCCAGAACACCTCAGTGTGTGTAAGGGTGCAAATTATATGGTGACATATGGTAGCAAAATTCTAATTCCAACGGCACCAGTTTCCAGATCTTAGTTTTTATAGCACCCTCTATCTCCAATATGACACTAAGACCCACTTTTCCCAAAACACCAGCGAAGCCTTGTCATGAAACGTGATAGGAGCACAATCTGTGCTGTTACACTTACCTCGATTCAGATGTCCATTCCCAGAGATCTCATGTTTCGGTAACCACTTTGTCTCTTGTGAGCTGAAGCAAATAACTATGGGCACTACGTGGTTTTATTTTTAATTTATTTATCTGGGACAGGGTCTTGCTCTGTTGCCCAGACTAGAGCGCAGTGGCACAATCTTGACTCACTGCAGCCTCAAACTCCTTGGCTCAAGTGATCTTCCCGAGAAGCTGAGTCTGCAAGTGCTCACCACCATGCCTGGCTAATTTTTGTATTTTTTTAGAGGCAGGGATTTGGTATGTTGCCCAGGCTGGTCTCAAACTCTTGGACTCAAGTGATCCACCTGCCCCAGCCCCTCAAAGTGCTGGGATTACAGGTGTGAGCCACGGTGCCCGGCCCACTAAATGGTTTTACATTGGTCTGGGTACTTTGGTTATCTTAGCATTGTTAATTTTCAGGAACCAATTTATTTGATATAGAGTATAGAGAGTTGGGATTCATTTAACCAGTGACTTGTTGCCATGGACTGAATATTAGCATCCCTCCAACACTTGCATGTTGAAGCCCTAATCTCCGTTGTGTTGGTATGTGGAGGTGGGGCCTTTGGAAAGTTATTAGCTTATGAGGATGGAGGCTTCATGTAGTGCCCTTATAAGAAGAGAAATGAGAGACACAATCTCTCTTTCTGCCCTATGAGGATACATCGAGAAGGCAGCCATCTGCAAACCAGGAAAAGACTTTCCTAAACAACAGTATTAGCTAGCAATTAATCTTTGATTTCCTAGCCTACAGATAATGAGAAACAAATTTCTATTGTTTAAGACACCAAGTATTTTTGTTATATCAGTCCAAACTGGCTAAGGCACTAGTACATTCCACAGGTAGTTATTGAGTGTATGCTATGCTTAAGGTACTGGTCTAAGGAAATGGGGGTACGACAGTGAACAAAACGAAGCCCCTGCTAGAGTCAGTAAGATTGTTTTCTACAGGTAAACAGATAACAAATTTAAACAGATAAATAAATAAATGTCATGTTAGATGATGGAAGTATTCTGAAAAGAAATAAAGCAAAATTAATCAGGACTGGGCTTGTCAGCAACTGCTTATCCTTACTTTTCTAATGGTGTTCAGGGAATGCCTCACTAATTGGGTGGTTCTTGAGTGATTATCAAGAAGTAGCAAGAGAGCAGTTTGCAGGTGGTGGGGAATGTGCTCTCCAATAGAAAACATTCAAGGGGAAAAGTCTTGAGAGAGGAACAGGACTGAATGTGTGAATAATGGCGAGGAAGCCATATAATAGGTGTAATGCAAGGAAGAAAGGGGAGAGAGTGGAAGGAGATGAAATCAGAGAGGAACGAAGGGTCAGATCATGAAGGGTTTTGTTATAAGGACTTTGATTAGGAGTAATATAGCAAGACATTGTAGAGTTGGGAGCAAAGGAGTGACAATATATGATTCATACTTTTTAAAGGATGATTCAGGCTTTTCTGTTTAGAATACACTATAGAATAGTAAATGCAAAAATAAATAAATAAATAATACAAGAAAAATGCACATTCACCTCTTGCCTGAATGAATGTCTTAGTCTCTGAACTGAAAGTCTACACTAGGAGGCTAGTAGTGGAGGTGTTGAGAATTGATCAAATGCTGGACATATATTAAAAGGAGTATAAACAATATTTATAAAGAAATCAATGCCAGGTGTGAGTAAGAAGGAGGAGAAAAGGGTGATTACAAGGTGTTTGAGTTGAAATATTAGAGAATGGAGTTGTCATTTAAGAAGAGAGAAGAACAAGTTTGTGGTGGGCAAAATTGAAAGTTCGGCTCTGGTTATGAAGTTTGAAATACCTCTTTGTCTTGTAGGATGAGATCCAGAACCCAACTGGACATGAGTCAGCTTCCTTAGAGAGGAAGTATGGGCTGGAGATACACATTTTGGAATCATTGATCTAGAAATAAAACTAGAAGAGATTAACTAAGGACTTGATGTGAATAGAAAAGAGAAGCTGCCTAAGGATTTTGCTCCAGAACGCTGCAACATCCTAGGGTCAGGGTGATAAGGGGAGATCATCAGAGAGGTCTGAACAGAAGCAGCCTTAGTAGAAGTATATGCTAGAAATAAACAATAAAAATGTTTCCAGAAATGCAGAATATTCAACTCGTTCAACTACTGATCCTATAATGAAGAATGAGAACTAAGCACTGGTCTTGGCATCAACATAGGTAACAAAGGCTATTTGCGTACAATATTGGACAGAAAAACCTGAATAAAGTTGTTTCTACGGGAAAAGGGAATTTCTTTGGGATTTGGAGATCTGGAGTCTAACATTTTTTGATATGTTTTACTGCACTGGTGAGAGGAGAAATGGGTAAGCACCTAAAGGCAAATTTTGAGGTTTAGTAGACTGAGAGAGCCCCTCAAAGATGTACACATAATAATCTGCAGAATCTAGAATTATGTTACTTCATGTGGCAACAAGACTCTGCAGCTATGATCAAGCTAAGGTACTCAAGATGTGAAGAGAATCCAAGATTATGTGGGTGGACCCAATGTAATCACAGGGTCCTTGTAAGAGGAAAGCAGGAGGGTGAGACTCAGAGAGGATGTGATGATGAAAACAGAGATGAGACAGAAAAAGAGAAAAAGACGGAGGGAAAGAGGGAAAGAGAGAGATAAACAAAGACAAAGAGAGGCAGAGACAGACAGATTTGAAGATGCTATATTGCTGGCTTTGAAGGTAGAGAACAGGGTCATAAGATAGTGACTGCGGGGAGCTCTGGGAGCCAGAAAAGGTAAGAAAATAGACTCTGCTAGAGACTCCAGAAGAAATGCAACACTGCCAATACTTGAATTTAGTCCAGTGAGATTAACTTTAGGCTTCTGATGTTCAGGAATGTAGATAATGTATAGAAAATACATTTGTATTGTTTTAAATCAATAAATTTGTGACAATTTGTTACTGCAGCAATATGAAACTAATGCAGAGTTCAAAGAAATTTCAAAGCTTTATATGAAATATAAATCTTTCATATTTTTAAAGAAGTTGCATATTTAGTTACATATGTACCACTGAATACTGAATAGTTTAAAGGAAATATTTGTGTAACTTCAAACCATATAGAAGACTCCCAGTAATTTAAAGCTCCTCATATACTCCTTACCAATCAAAATCCCATTAAACTCTTAGAGGTAGCTACAAGTGAAATTTACAATATGGTTGACCTATGAACAATGTTGGGGTTAGGGGAACCACTCCCCATACAGCCAAAAATCAAAGTGTAACTTTTTTTTTTTTTTTTTTTTTTTTTAGAGTCCTGCTCTGTAGCCCAGGCTGGAGTGCAGGGGCACAATCTCGGCTCACTGCAACCTCCACCTCCCACGCTCAAGTGATTCTCCTGTCTCAGCCTCTTGAGTAGCAGGAATTAAAGGCACTTGCCAACATGCCTGGCTAATTTTTATATGTTTAGTAGAAATGGAGTTTCACCATATTGGCCAGACTGGTCTCAAACTCCTGGCTTCAAGTGATCCACCGCCTCAGCTTCCCAAAATTCTGGGGTAACAGGTGTGAGTCACCGCATCTGGCCCCCAAGTGTAACTTTTGACTCCCCCAAAAGGTAACTACTAATAGCCTACTGCTGACTAGAAGCTTTGCAGATAACATAAACAGTGGATTAACACATGCTTTGTATGTTATATGTATTACTTACTGTATTCTTATAATAAAGTCAGCTAGATAAAATAAAACATTACCAAAAAATCCAAAAAAAAGATGATCTATTTGCTATTAATTTAGTGGCAGTGGATCATCATTAAGGTCTTCATCTTCATCATCTTCACATCGGGTAGGCCTAGGGGAAGGAGGAAATGTCGTTGTTGGTGTTGCTGTTTCAGGGGTGGCAGAGGTAGAAGAAAATCTGTTTTTAAGTGGACTCATGAAGTTCAAACCCATGCTCCAGTGTCAACTGAAATTGTTTCAATGTTTTCTACTACAGTTTTGCCATCTAAAAATGCATCCTCTAAAATATAGTTTTGATTGGTTTGTTTGAATGTTACATAAATGGAGACATCAGGATACATATTTTGTGTCTGGTTTATTGCACTAACATAAATTGTAAAATCTACTTATGTTCTTGCATATAAAAATCAAATTTTCATTGATATATGAAACTCCATTGTCTAAATATGCCAGAATTAAATGCTGATAAATGTTTAGTTATTTCCTTGGTTTTGCAGTTATAGACAATGTTGTTATACATCTATTAGTTAAATACCAAGAAACACAATCTATAAGCCATAGGCTACACGGAAGTTTAACTTTATTAGAAAATAAAATACACAAATGCCTTCACAATACAGTATCATCAGCAGGATATTAAAACTTCCTTTGGTCTACATTTTTGCCATCACTTGGAATTATCAAACACATTGATTTGTGTCTATCTGGTAGGTACATAGTCTTTGTTGCTTTTTGAAACTTTATTACTAATAAAGTAAGAACCACCAATGTTTATATTTTTTCTTGACCATTTCAAATTTTCTATTGATTTGCCTTTTTCTTATTGACATAAAGGAGATCTTTAGGTTTTCTAGTTAGAAACAAGGTATTTTTTTTCCTCCTTTTCAATGGCATTTCTTAACCACTGGAGATTTTGAACTTCAAAGACATAACTAGTGTAAAAGAATAAAACTCCAGAGTTAATATACTCCAGGTATATTGGGACATTTTGTGAGGACATATGGATTCTGTTCTGAAAAATTAGGTAGTATCTGGTAACATGGGCTTGAAATTTGGAGTGTTTTAGGGGAAAGAGAGCAATGATCCGTAAGTTACCATGAGGAGCAAAGAATACAACCTCATCTTCCTACCAACTGATTTGAGAGACTTGGAGAGAAATTGCCACAACCTGTGGTACCAGCAGTTCAGAAGCAACATCTTTTGAGAAGAGCCAGGTTACAGTTAGGGCAAAAAAATAAAAGGAATAATAAAAAAAGAGATGAGATATGTGTTCCAGAAAGGGGAGTGGAAAGGTTTTCATGTTTGGAGAGAGGTGGAAGTTTGTGCAGTGTTGTGTGAAAATAGGATTCCGTTAAGGTGTGAGACATTGCAATTTGAGAGAAAACCTGGTTACTTAGGACATTTTGTGGTGATTAACATAAACATGCAAAAAAAGCATGGAGAGATTAATCCTGGTCTCCTGAAATTATTCATTGAGACTTTGAATATTCCAGGGGCAAATGCCTGCTGTGACTTCCCTCTTTTCCTGCTAAGAGCAGGCTGCAAGCCAGGATGGAATTTGTTATCAGGAGAACAAGATCTCAAGCCCTCCTTCTTCATTCCTTTTGGGCTTGAATAAGGGGGTTACAAAGCTACATTTTAAGAGGAACACATTTATGTAAAAATTGTTCATGGGAAAAAATCCTAGTTTTATAGAGTAGTATTTTCTATAAGTGGCCAATCTAAGGTGGAAAAGAAATTGAAAGCACTCTGAGACAAAATTTTGTTTACAAGATAGAGACAGTCAGGGCACCAGTCCAGAGAAATACTGCCTCAGGTTTAGATCATTTTGGTGGTGCAACAGTCCCAGATATCTTTCAGCCAATAACCCCGTGTCATTGTAAATCAAGCTAGTCTAGATGATTACTCTTCTGTTGATTTTTGGCAAGTGAAATAATGAACCACGGGCATGAATCAAGGAATGCTTTCTTTTCTCAGTGTTAATAAAATGTGTAGTAGTGTGTTTTGCTTTATTTCATTGCATATTTGGGGTCTGATATAGAAAAAATATAAGACAATGATATTTATCATATTTTTAAATAATTTTAAAAGGCTTTCTTGTGTATAAATAGAAATGCTGATAGAAATATTTTTTAAAATAGGGTCCAGTGGCTCATGCCTGTAATCCCAGCACTTTGGGAGGCCAAGGCGGGCAGATCACTTGAAGGCAGGAGTTTGAGACCAGCCTGGCCAACATGGTGAAATCCTGACTCCACTAAAACTACAAAAATTAGCTGGGTGTGGTGGGGTACGCCTGTAATCTCAGCTACTCTAGAGGCTGAGGTGGGAGAATTGCTTGAACCCTGGAGGTGGAGGTCGCAGTGAGCTGAGATCGCACCACAGCACTCCAGCCTGGGTGACAGAGTGAGACTCCGTCTCAAAAAAATAAAATAAAATAAAATAGAATAAAACCACTAAGAACATGCATTTAGCAAATCTCATGGAGACAGTACCACCAAGGTTCTCTGACTTTCAGCAAAGGAGAAAAATTCCAATATTATATTGATGCTCCATATCATTTAGGGCAAAGGCAAAGGCAGTATAAGTCAGGTGACTTTCTTTAACCAGTTAGAAAATGCAGGCTGCAGAGGAATGGTCCATGGTCTTGGAGAACCACATGGAGAAAAATTATTTCCAACACAGCTGCTGAAGTGAAAAGTGCAAAATCTCACCTTATTCTGACAACTTTCTTTCTCTTTTTCTTTTTGTAAGTATGTTCATATGCTTGTCTTTCTTGATTACACACACACACATGTACTCACCACCATTTCTGTCATCATTTGGATAACGGATGCTTTATATGTTTAGGTACTAAGTTATGTGAACATAGAGAGGTATGAATGTCTAAGGACTTTTAATGAAGTAAACCTGTAAAATTTTAAGCATAAGTATTCTTGTTTTTCAAAAAAATTGCTTTCATTTATCACTATTTTTAAAGTTTGCATAAAGTTTAAGAGTTTTCTTGTAGGTTGCAGTCTGTTAGTGAATATGAATTCTTAATAAGAACCTATGGTATGCAAAATCAATGGTGAGTTACTGAGACAGCTAATAGAGAAAAATTGGCCACAAGATCTGAACTCTTAGAATCTACTCCAATTCATGCTTTCTCTTAGGAATCAAAGAGAATATTGGCTATAAACCTTAATTTTATGAAAATAGAAAATAAAACTGTAAAACAACCCTCCTATAATTAAGATTATGATCAAGCATAAGTCCGAAGGAAGTTGAATTCTAACTATTCCCCCATGATGGCCATAGAACTCTGTCTTTTAAGAAACCAGAAGCATCAACATTACCTACTCAAAATGTGTTTCGAAGAAACAACAGCATAAGCATTTGGGAGTTTGCTGGAAAGGAAGTCATGGGTTCCAACTCAGACCTACTGAGTCAGATTTGAATTTTAATAAGATCCCCATGTGATTTGTTTTCACATTAAAGTTTGAGAAAAGCTGTCATTGAGGATACAGAAGAATGCTCGAGTAACATTGGAGGAAATGAATGAAATATTTGAATGATATTTTCAAAAAGTATTCAGAGTTCCTTGAATTTTTAATGAAAATAGGCAGTTGCTTTTATTCTGTCAAGATCACATCCCTGAGAGGCTACAATCCCATTGACCTCATAGTACAAAATAATTTACAAAACTGTCTAAGGAAAATGTGTCTCAGTTTGTTCTTGAAACCATTCAGCCATATGCATGTTAATCAAATTGCCTTCCTCCTTATGGATAGAAAATGACAATCAGGATTAATTGTCACCTCCTCAGAATAAACAGTAAAACAATTTCACCTCCTCAGAATAAACAGTAAAACAATTTCTTGCAAGTCTGACACTTGGAAGAAGACTATATTTTCCAGGTCCTCAAAATCTTATTTTGTAGTTATAACTCACCATACTGTATTCAAATGAACAGCAAGATTTAAAACAATTCTTTAAATACTTAATGTATAACACGAGAAGACTCAAGATCCAGATAAAATGTACAGAGCTGCTATGGAGTTGAAGATTTGAAAATAATTTATTTTCATGGTCATATGTAAAAAAATATATATATCCCTATATGACAGATAATTTTTATTTTATTTAGATTATGATCTATTAGATAGAAAGAGCACTGAATTATATGTTCCCCTGATGTGGGGAATAGTGAGTATCTATTTTTAACTGTCCATTTTACTAAATAGATAATGGATATGCAACATAAATATGAATACAGTAAACATGGCCCTCTTTATGATTTCAATGGTCTATCTTTAATTATTGTCTATTTCATAGCTTCCTTATTTATCAATGCAAATCTGTAGTTTGTGAGAATTCCTGTGATGCCAGTGTGACAACTACCTAACATTTTATTATGCCTTCCATAATATATTGTAATACTTCACTCAATATCTCGGCCTAATTTTAAAAGGAATGTACCTAGAAGTTGTCACTTTTTTAAAGATGACATGAGGTTTTATAGTTTTGAAAAAATTTCAGCCTAATAGAGCTTTGTCATGTAGAGAAAAAAAATAGTTACTGTCAAACTTAGGTGGCAGTATAAACCAAGGTTGATCCTGGTAAGCTCATGGCAAGGAAGACTATTGTCTCAATAGTTAATAAAGACAGAGAAAATAGTTGCTCGTTTTATTTAAAATGGCAACAAAAACAATAATAGCAACAACAACAACAAAACTAGCAGTATGTGCAACAATTGTATGGATATCTAATATGTAACCTTTTCTGACACCTTTGCTTCACATTCCCTTAAATAAGGACCTATGTCATCAGTCAACGCAACATTCTTAACATTATATCCTAGGGCTTATATCTGATTATAATTGCCAATTATATCTGACAATTGGTAAGATCTACAAATTGACGTCTCATTTATATCCAAACTATTTTAAATGCAAGTATTTGAAGAAATTGTATAGGTAAGAAAAGAACTTATAGTTGGAGTTTTAACACACATTGTTTGATCAAATGCCCAAAAATCCAATCAGAATTGGCACATTGCCTTACAATCAATAAAACAGTGAATTAGAGTTATGTAATAGATATGATTATATTTTTTCTAGTATCTAAGTTTAGTAAGTTTATTATGGACCTTTCTTTACTGATGTTTAAGCTTACCTTGTTGAAAGATGAAAAACATAGTTGTTTTTTTCTTTAAATATGTAGAATGCAACGTCCTTACAGATTAACTAAGCTTCAGTTTATAAACTCATTTTCATTTCATTGAGCCCCTTTAAAAAGTTAAAATACCATGAAAAGTTAATTTTAAAGATGTTTGTAGGTGGCAGTAGTTTTAAAAACATCACTTCTTAACAGTTTTCTCCAAAAGAATTTTTCTAAACCGTGTTTTCATTTTGGAAGAAAAGATCAATTATGAAATATGTGCTTATATTTGGAAAAGGTAAAGCTTACAGATGGAAAGAAAGTTAATATACATTAAATAATTTATTTTTATTAACTTATGTGAGCTAATCCATATATATGTTTTTTTGTGTATCTACTTAGTTAATTTTGTAATCTAGCTAAAGACTAGCTTGTTTTCTAAAACTCTTGTCTAAATAAAGAGCAAATAATCAGAGACACTTGTCTGATAGCATGTGATTTTTCTTCACACCCAGCATGCACCTACATGGCCTGGAAGCAAGGGTTTTGACAGAGTAAATGGAGTAGTGTCTTTCTGAAAAGAAGAAAAATCAATGAATCCGTATTCAGCAGAAGCACCCTGTTGGTCTCAATTGTCCAATGCTGAGCTATCAGTTTCCCTCATTGAACACAGTGCCTGGTACATTTACTTTTTTAAAGTGCACTCTCTGGATAACAAAAAAAGAAAGATAACAAGCATCAATACTGTAGGAAGTCCCCTGTACAAGCTTTCTGATAAACAAAAGTTAAGAAAAAAATAGATCGAGCTTTTCCTTAGTGTGGTGTTTAGAATGAGTTCAGAATAATATTCTCAATACTGTAACTCTCTCTGCAACATCTGTGTAAATTTCCTGAACAGATCTTTAAATATATTGTTTCCTTTACTTTCTTTATTTCTGGCACTTATAGTTATCATAAAATCTGGATATAGTCTTCAACAGTTTTCATCTTTATTCATATACAGGGTGTTGTAATACATGATATAAGCAAGGCTGTATAATATTAAAATAATTTGTATCACAGTTAAGAGAGAAAATATATATCAAGGAGGAAATTCTTTGGAGAAATTTCTAAAGCTAAATAGCAATATATATATATATATATATATATCAATTTTGATACAGGTTTGCTACAATATCGCTATTCAAAAAATAAATATTTATGTACCCACTATTACAAGATAATGCATAAAGAAGGTATCTCTAACTACCTCTGTACCTCCACTTAAAATCCCCGGCTATTCTATCTTGTCACTATTCTGTTGGGACCATGCACGATAAACTTGCTCTACCCAGCTGTATTTGCAATGCCTCTTATCTCTTGCCAAGCATGGCTCTGATTTCTGTATACCTTTTTATTTGGACAAGACATTAAAGGTTCTTATCATTTCCATTTCAAAGTGATCTTAGAAAAGTAGAAACACTGAATTCAGCTCTTAACAAGACGATGCCCTTTCTAATATTGTCCTTGAAATAACATCTGTAACTTGCCTTCAATATTTTCTTCTCCCAATTCTGCTGTGGTGTTTTCACCTGCTAGATCATACAAAACATAACTAACATTTTAAAATGGAACCTATAAAACTAATGAAAGAATTGTTTTAACGTTGCCTACAGGTTTACATAAATGCTATACAAAACATACCATTGCAATTTGCTAATGTTACTGAAGGAAAACAAGATCAGCAAAGTTGCTGTACAGTCATACATCTTGCTTCATCTGATTTTTTTTATTATTTCAGTAAGATATATGTCACAATTTTGCATTATTTTACTTTTTAATACAAAATTCACAGATATGAATGCATAGAGACTCTATTAGATTATACGTATTGGTAGATTATTATTATATTTAATTGTTTTCAATATTAGATAACATTACATGCTAAAAAATCATGACTTTTTACTTGATAAAAAGTAAGGTTTGGGTAATGAGCATAAGATAACATTATTAAAATTTAAAATTATTAAATTTTAGCAATTTTGTTACAACCCAGAGAAATGCTAATCTTACATTTTTGAATAAATAAATTAAGTCTGGATTCTTCCTTTGATTTTTCACTGGGTTAATAATACATCATGAAGTTTGGGAACCCATTCCTCATTTCCTCATTCAAATTATGAATCTTTGAAGCAGAATTATTAAGAAACACCTATGTACATCTATGTACATTATTAAGAAACATCTATGTACATTTTACTATGTAAAATATGTACAATAATGTACATATTTTAAACTTAAAACATATTTTTAACTTAAAATAAAAAAACATAAAATAAAAATAAATAAAATAAAAATAAAACTTAAAACATATTTTTAACTTAAAACAAATTTTAAGTTAAATTTGTTAACTTAAAAATAAGTCAACAAATAAAAGACAGCAATATGTATGTTAGAGAAAGCAGCTACAGCAAAGCTTCTTGTTATCAGATGCCTGTGCTCCTTTTCTTACTTAGATGACATTGGCTGTGACATCTCACCATGTGTGCAAAAACAGTTCCCAGCCTTCCCTGCAGTGGACATAAAAAGATTTGAAGGGAGGTGTTATCATTAGCACATAATGGAAGTGTCACTGTTTGAAGATAATTATGTCACCAGCTTGGGAGATGAGCAAAAAAAAAAAAAAAAAATAGACAAAAACCCTAGAAATTTAACAAAATCAAAAATCAACGTACAAAATAATTCCTTTTAAACAGCAACAGGCAATTAGTAAAAGTAACTAAAATTGAGATATTCTTAGCAATAACAGCAACTCAAAAGAGGAACTAAACAACCGGAAGACTGGACAAAGTGGCTGCAGTAAAAATTCTTGTCAGTCATGCTTAATGTGATTGATGTGATATGATAGAAACCAACACTCCATAAATTAATCTAAAAAATAAATTGATTATTAATAAAGAGCCAGAAACTTTCGTGAATGATTTGCTAAACATTATAACATTATATGGACTACTAAAAATCTTTACTATAGGTTAACTTTAAAGAAAAAGAGAGAGCATCTTTCCTTAGAAGTTAATGAGACATTTTAATGTGATAGTAATAAAAATGATGTGGCATTTTTACAATAATAAATAAATATACCACTGTAGCAAAATGGCAATCTCAGAGACAGACTCAATATGCATGAAATTAGGCAACATGAATAAGGGGGGAAAAGATGAGATCGTTTAGTAGAAGATAGAAAAAACAGGCAAACCATATGAAAAAAATAAAAATGCTTCCCTAACAAACAAAATTTACAGAAAGCAAATTTTAAAAACATAGTGAACACATGAAGAGATACCCTACATCATTTGTAATCACAAGCACTAAAAGTAAAACAATGATTTTTGTTATTATTCTCCTCTTAGTGTTCCAAAAATTCGTGGTGTCAAGTGTTGGCCTCAACATAAGGATTGCTGCTTAGTGTGTAGATCGGTCATTCTAAAAAGCAATCTCGGCTGGGCACAGTGGCTCACGTCTGTAATCCCAGAACTTTGGGAAGCCAAAGCGGGCAGATCGTTTGAGGCCAGGAGTTCAAGACCAGCCTGGGCAACATGGTGAAACCCTGTCTCTACTAAAAATACAAAAATTAGCCAGGCGTGGTAGCACATGCCTGTAATCCCAGCTACTAGGGAGGCTGAGGCAGGAGAATCACTTGAACCTGGGAGGCGGAGGTTGCAGTGAGCTGAGATTGCATCACTGCACTCCACCCTGGATGACAGAGTGAGACTCCATCTGAAAAGTAAATAAATAAGCCAATCTCTCACAGTTTTAAAAATTAATTACAAACATTTTGTGATAATAATTTTCTACTATGCTTTGCTATGGTAACAAACTTCCCCAAATTTCTTGTGGCTCACAATAAGAAAAGATTATATCTTGCTCCTACTACATGCCAGTTGCTGGTTGGCTGCAGCTGTGCTCAACTCTCTATCCCATGTCTTCAAGTGTCTTCATTCTGGGCCGTGGACTGAAGTGGGATGCCAGATCTGGAATATGTCTTTTCATGGCAGAAAGAAGAAAGCAAGAGAGCTGTCAGGCACACTCAATGGCTCTTAGGGCTTCAACTTTGAATGAAAATAGTCATTTTGCTCACCTTTTATAGATCAGAAAATCAGGTAGATACACTTCCCACTGGAAAGTCCTGCTAGTCATACAGCAGGGGGCAGAGAAAGATGGGAGTAAATTATAATAAACAATATTATAATCTGTCACACATACACTATAAATCAACCACTCTTTTCCTGGGTATACCCAAAAATGTCAAGTAATATACTAAAGTGACATGTACAGTACAAGATGTTCACGCAGCCTTCTTCATGGGTACCAGAGAGCTGGAAGCAAACCTCATGTTTGTTCCTAGAGGACTCAAAAATAGTGGTGAATTTTCATGATGGAGTATTATAACAGCAATTAGAAACAATGAATTAATGTGCAAATAATTATCTGAGCTGATTCTAAAAACACAATTATCTGAATTTATTTTTAAAAAGCAGTGTGAGATATACGATGAATTAAAATTTCTTTTTGCACACAAAACAGAACATTTTATCAAATAAAGTGATTAAGTAAAGAAAGGATTGCCTGTATTAACAGTGATAATTCCATAAATTGATGAATATGGTGAACTCAACTATATATCACAAAGGTATCAGTAATTGAAATTATCTCAAAAATTATTCCATATCTGACCCAATGAGATTAAATTAAAAGACAGTAGCCAAAATAACCAGAAAATTCATATATTTAGATATTTAAAATATAATCTACATCTTAACATGGATATAATAGATATGGTAAAACTACAAAGAAAATCCAGGAAATATTGGGCACCAAATTCTAGATAATGCTATTTGGAAGGAGAAGGAAAAAAGAGGAGTGAAAATTCCTTGTTTCTTATGTAGCTGTTTGTGCATACTGTTTATTTCATTAATTATTGAATACAAATAATTTATCTGGGAAGAATATAAAAATAAAGTGTCATGTAAAAAGTTTAAAAGTATACATTTTTGTTTGTCTTTTTTTTGTTGTTTTTATGTTTTTTGAGACTGAATTTTGCTCTTGTTGCCCAGGCTGGAGTCCAATGGCACGATCTCGGCTCACTACAACCTCTGCCTCCCAGGTTTAAGCGATTCTCCTCCCTTAGCCTCCTGAGTAGCTGGGATTACAGGCGTGCACAACCACGCTTGGCTGATTTTTGTATTTTTAGTAGAGACGGAGTTTCACCAAATTGGTAATGAGGATCTGATTTAAGATAATGAGGACTGATTGATAAGTATAGTTAAAGACTTAGAAAGAGGAAAAAAGCAGGAAAAAGAATGTTTCAGGAATTGGCAACACTAATTAACCTATTAGTCTCTGGCCACTGAAACTTTCAGGGCAAACACATTACAGCTTTCTGAGCCCAAAAGAGAGGGAAAATCTTTCATTCACATCAGAGTTTCTAGGAGAGGTCAGTAACTGCTATCAAACTCCCACACCAAGAAACCCTACAAGGCTACATTTCTGCTCTAAGATTACTGGGGATATTTCTAAAGCTTGAGATGTAGAAATAATTAGGCACAAAATAGCTGTAAAACTCCCAGACATTCAGTACCCAAACCAAGTTGGGATGTTTCTCTTTTTCCAAATATCTTGAGGGCTATATTGTGTCTGCTCACGTATTGAGTTAGGGTCTTACACGTGGCTTCTGACACTAACCTTGTTCAAATTACCCTTGCAGCTTAGACTACATTTGACCCTGCTGCAGCTCAATTATGTTTCCTGCTTCCATTTGTGTGTGTGTGTGTGTGTGTGTGTGTGATAGTACAGCTTGTGGATGATCTATGTAAAATATACATATACACTGGGGAGGATATATGGATATATATTAGGAAGGAACAGAATTAAGTTACACTTACTAATTATTTATTGTGCAAAGAAATTTAGGCCTGAAGTAGATACCGACCATAACCTAATGTAACCTTCAATTTACAGGTGAAGCAAAATAACCTGTGTTAGTTACGATCATACACTTAATAAACAGCAAATCCAGAATCCCTCCAATGTTTTGACAATCCAGTGATCTTTCCTCCATAGTAGAGGGTTTCACTCAAAATTCTCCATGGTATTAAATGCTTCAGGACTTGTCTAAAGGGACAAACAAAGCAGCCCTCTAGCCCCACCTACCAGGATTGATTTGGGGAGATTTACTTACATTTGTTCTATTAAGTTGTAAGAAATCATAAAATTTTTTGTGAAATGGGAAAAAACATTGTTGTACTTAATATTTGTCTCCTTGTACTTGCACAAAATTAAGGCATGAACTTTGCATTTATTTTACATACTGTTATTTTAAAAACATCTATTTTTACTATTTTAAAAATCTATTTAACCCTTAGTATGTGAGTAGCACTGTAAAATTCTGGAGCTACAATGATAATCTAGACATGGTTTGGGATCTCTATTTCCTTCCAGAAGAAACAGTGAGAAATAAACAATTAAGAATGATTTTTAAGTTGATATGATATGTACATAGGAAGGCCACTTCACCTGGCTGATGTATTTAAGGACTGATATAATACGGAAATAAAATGGATGAATAAAAGACAGAAACAAAGTAATTAGAAACATGTTCCAAGTAGAAGAAAAAAATTGTAATATGTTTCATGTCAGAGCGGAGCATATTATAGAACTTAAAATTAAATCTGAAAGGATTTGGGAGACTGTAGGATCAGATTGTGGAGTAAACAGTGTGGCATAGACAGCTGGAATATGGGCTTTGTCATGAGATTGATGGGGTTTGAGTCCTGGCTCCACAAAGAGTACAACCTTGAAAGTGTACTTTAAACCATCTATGTGTCCACTTGTTCTTCTGTAAAATCATGTTAGCAATAGTACCTGCCTCATAAAGTGTGACAGTGCTAAAGCATGCACCATGCTGAGCATGAGCTAATTCAAAGAAATAAAGAACTGGTTTAAGAAAGCTGGCTGTGTACGCAGATGAGTTTACATTTGTATCATGGATTTGTCAATTAATAACAGCATGACCTCAGCTAAGACACTGAACTGTATGCCTCCTCAATGGCTTTACCTGTAAAATGGACGATAGAATAGTACATTCTTTATCGTTGTCTTATGCGAATTAATGACTTTGTATGCTAAAAATATTCATAACATTGTCTCCACATAGTAACTGGGCCAGGGTAGGCAAAAAGGCAGGATCAAGAGGTAGGATTAAAAATAACATGGTCAGGGAAGACCATGCTGAGACCGTAACATTTGAAGAGACCTGAGGGAAAACAAACCGTGTGGATATTTAGAAGATGAAATAAAAAATTGCATGCCTATATATTTCTGCTTATATAGACAGGTATTTCATGATTTTTTAAAAAAATTTCTTTCTTTTACTTGACACGTTTTCTAATTTGTTTTCTGCCTTTTATTCATCCATCTTATTTCTGTATTATATCATTTCTTAAATACTTCAAATATATAGGCATGTGAGGGGGTGGGGGGGTTACCTGGCATATTTGAGAAAGGGCAAGGAAGACAAGAGCAGAGTGAGATGAATTATAGTAGGTAATATATTCTGAGATATGACAGAGTGCATGGAGAGGTGGTACAGATCACGTTTGAAATTAAAGTCACGGTAAAGACTTTAAGTTATTGTTCTGAGTAAAGGTATCAGGGTATTGGAGAGTTTTATGCTGAAAGAGTAGTGATCATAATCACTGGCTGCTTGGTTGGGAACAGATTAATAAGTGGGAGGTGCCAAGGGGATCCGTGAGGAATCATTGCAATAACCCCAGGAACAGGAGATGGGCACTGAGAACAAGGCAGTGGCAGAGGAATAGAAGGAAGTGGTCAGATGTAGGATATGTTTTGAAGACAAAGCTGATAACACTGTTCCATAAGTGGGATCTTGTCAAATGAGAAACAAGACATTATAATATTAAGTAACAGGTGTGATGGATTGTAAAAATGGCCACAGTGGAATATGGCAGAACTGATATTGTACAAGCCCCAAGCCTATGCTTGAAAATGTCTTTCAGATATCTCTCTTGCTGCTGCTGGGATACCTGAAGCACTGCCTTGGGGAGAAACTGGGTCAGCCTGCTCCGTGAAAAGAATCACATGGCACAGTAGCTCTCAAGCCCCTGACAGACAGCCAGTCTCCCAATGCAAAGTGTTTTGCTGACCAGCAGCTGTCCAGAGACTGGCAAGAGAGTTGTTCAATGTAGCTCAGCCTCATTTACCAACCCATAGAATTTGGAACTAAATGAATGGATGTTTTATTAAACCACAAAGTTTCGAGGTGGTTTGACATGCTGCGATATATAATTGTTACAATGGATGATCTATACACTTTTTGCTGAATTTGGACCAGAATATCACTGTCTCCCAAAGATTGTGATATGTAGTAAAATTGCCTATTATTTGTAAATTTAAAAATGTTTACCCTGAATCCCTAAAGACCAGGGCAATGTGGGGTGGCATCTCAAGAACACTAAAGCATGCCCTTGCTGGTTAAACGTTTATGTGTTGTTTATTGTAGGATCTAATTATAAGTAATTCTCAATATAAGTTTCTAAAACTACATATTCTGAGTCAGTTCCTTTCTCACTTGCCTAGAAGGCTTTCCCATCCTTATCTTCTTTCTTCATAAATTTCCAACATCTCCCAATTTTCAGACTCAGTTGGTGACTTCCTTTTAATTTCACTAAGGGAGAAGAGGGGAAGATTCCAAAGGGAGCTTCCTCTGTAACCAACCAACCTGTCTACCCAACATCCTGAATCTTTCCTCATAAACCATCGTTTGCCTTCCTTCCTGTTACTTTAAATGAACTAATCTAATTTGTAAAATCTAAGTCAGATCAGCCAACCTATTTCTACACAGGATCTTACCTAACGCTCACCTTTTCAAGCACAATCTTCCATTGTGCCTTTCCATTTCATCTGCATTGATTTTCCTCTCTTCAATGAATCTTTCTCCCTCTTTCATCCCCAGTTTTTTAAATCTACATTCTCAAATTAAAATAGTAAGCCAATCTACTTTAGAATGAGTATTCATAAGTATATTTTCTAAAGGGAAGATTAACTTCTATAACTATGTAAACAGATGTCAAATTATTTTACCATTTATATATAATTTAATGTGGACAGTTATTCTCTTATATTGACTTACTATCACAATACATACAGTTTAGAGAAACTATTTGCATTTTCACTACAAAATGTTTAATTATTCAGTGTAATTACTTATAACATTTTAAAAATAAAATTATTGGTGACATTTTTGTCCTTCATATTTTGTTTAGATTTTACTTATTAAATTATTTTCTCTCTTGTCCTTCAAAAACACTTTACATTATTTGCAAATGCATCTAATTAGAACACAGGGAATTATGTTATGCATTTGGCAGCAGAGGTATAATGGATGCCAGCTGCAAGATCTTGAACTTCCAAATCTGGAATTTAAAATTTCTGAAATAACAACTCCCAATTTATTGCTGGCAATGCAGAAATACTGTTTATTTTCCATCTTGTCTGTAATAAACACAGTACTACTGCAGATACTACACTCAAAATTTTAGGGAAATACTTTTACAGAATGCACTGGAAATTTTGTAGCTTAGATTCTCATAAAAATATTTTTATTAAACATTTCCTTTGGTTCTTGCATCATCTCTTTATTAAGTTGTTTAACGTTTGGAACACATTAGGAAAATATTTTCCAGATATGAAAGAAAGATGACCTTCCTTGCCCTAATTCCCTGGTGGGATTTTCTCGTGCACTGGAGAATGATGATGTGGTTGCTTGAAACGGTATTTCAGCTGTGCTCAGGAGGCAGGAAAATATCAGTCTGGACACATGTAGCAAGTAGTGTGCATGTAGAGCATCGCAGAAATTGGATGTGTCCTGGAGAAGTCTATGAATGATCAGTGGTTCAGGGATGTGATTATTGTTGGCTTTGCTAGGACAATTCTGAATTAAAATAGGATTTTTTTCTATTTCCATTGGAGTGAAATTCATCTGGGTAGACCATATACTCTAACAATTGGTTATAAAAAAGAAAAATATATATTTCTTGTATACAAGAGGCTCAAGAACATTATTCCTTAGGTAGTAACATCATGCCCGAATTGCAAAAATTAGTAAGGCTGACTGGTAGTGGAGAGATATGCTCCAGGTAAAACTGGAAATTTACATATACTTTTTATGTCTATTTTCTGAGAGGTCTTGTGGAAGTGTGGATTTTTTGAAGACCATGGAAAATAATTAAAACAGCTACTGTAGGTAGTATAACTTGGATACAAGAGACCAATATATGGAATTCAAATTAATAACAAAATCCTAGTTAAAATTTAATGGCAGGGATTTAAAATACAATCACTCAGCATTTTTCATGACCTTATATAAAAGGCTCAGCCCTAGAGGAGAAATAGAATAATCAAAGAATTGTGGAATTGAATTTGACAAAAGTTTACAAGAGAAGAGGATCAAGGAGCCAAATGCACATATTATAAGTATACGAATATGGGATCCAACCATGAGGAAGAAATGGCTGAGGAAGTTAAGTGAAATTTTAACTGTAGTAACGGGGGAGAAATACAATGTATTTCAAAGAACTGGAGTTTATAATGGAGATAAGTAGAATACAGCAGAAAGAGAAAATGGGAGACATTTTAAGAAAACAAGCATTCGTGGTCAAAAGAAGAATAGCAGATTTTGAAATATTCAATGCAGACCAATGTTTAATAGTGGTGAAACACAGAAGGGGGTTCTATTTGTAGATAATTAAACTGGAACAGATTAGATGGAGTGGATGTATGTCATGAATTTAAGAAGCTATAAAATAGGGAAGAGGAGACTACAGAATAAATAGATGTCAATAATTTTCAAAAAGGGAGGATACCATTGAAGATGGGGCATCAACTATCCCTAACAACAAAGGCAATCAAAAGATACTACTTGTGTCACACTACTTGTTTCTTTGAAGTCTCTGACCTGGAGCAACAGTATAATGTCCCTTTCCTATAGTAGTGAAGGATATAGTAGTTTCAGGGAAAAACAGTTTTCCATAATATTTACTCAAGGAAGAAGACCATGTATTCAAGCACACATTGAAAGTTTGAGTGGAGCATTTTATAATAGCTAGGGGGTTCCAATAAAAGAGTACAGTGGGTTAAGCCAGTGACTACTAAGTTTAAGAGCTTACAGTCCTGCACCTACTGTAGCTTCTATGTGGGATGGAAAACATCAATCATTGTTGTTGATTGTTATGTAAAACTCTCTTTTATTTTAATATTGATGTCAATATTTCAACTGCTGTAAAATTATAAACTTTTATACTTGGATAAGTCCACCAGGAGCGAGTATTTCGCTCTCAGATACAGGCATGCTTCTCACCGTGCAGAGCTGCATTTCGCCTGGGCTGGCTGCATGGAAACCCGCCCTTCCTCCCACCCCACCTCTCTAGAGCCTGGGCTGTGTTGCTTTATATATATATATATATATATATATATATTTTTTTTTAAATTATACTTTAGGTTCTAGGGTACATGTGCACAACATGCAGGTTTATTACATACGTATACATGTGCCATGTTGGTGTGCTGCACCCATTAACTCGTCATTTACATTAGGTATATCTCCTAATGCTATCCCTCCCCCCTCCTCCCACCTGACAACATGCCCCGGTGTGTGATGTTCCCCTTCCTGTGTCCAGGTGTTCTCATTGTTCATTTCCCACCTATGAGTGAGAACATGCGGTGTTTGGTTTTTTGTCCTTGTGATAGTTTGCTGAGAATGATGGTTTCCAGCTTCATCCATGTCCCTACAAAGGACATGAACTCATCATTTTTTATGGCTGCACTCCATGGTGTATACGTGCCACATTTTCTTAATCCAGTCTATCATTGATGGACATTTGGGTTCGTTCCAAGTCTTTGCTACTGTGAGTAGTGCCACAATAAACATACGTGTGCATGTGCCTTTATAGCAGCATGATTTACATTCCTTTGGGTATATACCCGGTAATGGGATGGCTGGGTCAAATGGTATTTCTAGTTCTAGATCCCTGAGGAGTCACCACATTGTCTTCCACAATGGTTGAACTAGTTTACAGTCCCACCAACAGTGTAAAAGTGTTCCTAGTTCTCCATATCCTCTCCAGCACCTGTTGTTTCCTGACTTTTTAAAGATCGCCATTCTAACTGGTGTGAGATGGTATCTCATTGTGGTTTTGATTTGCATTTCTCTGATGGCCAGTGATGATGAGCATTTTTTCACGTGTCTGTTGGCTGCACAAATGTCTTCTTTTGAGAAGTGTCTGTTCATATCCTTCACCCAATTTTTGATGGAGTTGTTTGTTTTTATCTTGTAAATTTGTTTGAGTTCTTCGTAGATTCTGGATATTAGCCCTTTGTCAGATGAGTAGATTGCAAAAATTTTCTCCCATTCTGTAGGTTGCCTATTCACTCTAATGGTAGTTTCTTTTGCTGTGCAGAAGCTCTTTGGTTTAATTAGATCCCATTTGTCAATTTTGGCTTTTGTTGCCATTGCTTTTGTTGTTTTAGACATGAAGTCCTTGCCCATGCCTATGTCCTGAATGGTATTGCCTAGGTTTTCTTCTAGGGTTTTTATGGTTTTAGGTCTAACATTTAAGTCTTTAATCCATCTTGAATTAATTTTTGTATAAGGTGTAAGGAAGGGATCCAGTTTCAGCTTTCTACATAGGGCTAGCCAGTTTTCCCAGCACCATTTATTAAATAGGGAATCCTTTCCCCATTTCTTCTTTTTGTCAGGTTTGTCAAAGATCAGATGGTTGTAGATGTGTGGTATTATTTCTGAGGGCTCTGTTCTGTTCCATTGATCTGTATCTCTGTTTTGGTACCAGTACCATGCTGTTTTGTAGTAGAGTTTGAAGTCAGGTAGCATGATACCTCCAGCTTTGTTCTTTTGGCTCAGGATTGACTTGGCAACGTGGGCTCTTTTTTGGTTCCATATGAACTTTAAAGTAGTTTTTTCCAATTCTGTGAAGAAAGTCATTGGTAACTTGATGGAGATGGCATTGAATCTATAAATTCCCTTGGGCAGTATGGCCATTTTCATGGTATTGATTCTTCCTATCAATGAGCATGGAATGTTCTTCCATTTGTTTGTGTCCTCTTTTATTTCCTTGAGCAGTGGTTTGTAGTTCTCCTTGTAGAGAACCTTCACATCCCTTGTAAGGTGGATTCCTAGGTATTTTATTCTCTTTGAAGCAATTGTGAATGGGAGCTCACTCATGATTTGGCTCTCGGTTTGTCTGTTATTGTTGTATAGGAATGCTTGTGATTTTTGTACATTGATTTTGTATCCTGAGACTTTGCTGAAGTTGCTTATCAGCTTAAGGAGATTTTGGGCTGAGACAATGGGGTTTTCTAGATATATAATCATGTCATCTGCAAACAGGGACAATTTGACTTCCTCTTTTCCTAATTGAATACCCTTTATTTCCTTCTCCTGCCTGATTGCCCTGGCCAGAACTTCCACCAACACTATGTTGAATAGGAGTGGTGAGAGAGGGCATCCCTGTCTTGTGCCAGTTTTCAAAGGGAATGCTTCCAGTTTTTGCCCATTCAGTTTGATATTGGCTGTGTGTTTGTCATAAGTAGCTCTTATTATTTTGAGATACGTCCCATCAATGCCTAATTTATTGAGAGTTTTTAGCATGAAGGGCTGTTGAATTTTGTCAAAGGCCTTCTCTGCATCTATTGAGATAATCATGTGGTTTTTGTCTTTGGTTCAGTTTATATGCTGGATTACATTTATTGATTTGCATATGTTGAATCAGCTTTGCATCCCAGGGATGAAGCCCACTTGATCATGGTGGATAAGCTTTTTGATGTGCTGCTGGATTTGGTTTGCCAGTATTTTATTGAGGACTTTTGCGTTGATGTTCATCAGGGATATTGGTCTAAAATGTTGTTGTGTCTCTGCCAGCCTTTGGTATCAGGATGATGCTGGCCTCATAAAGTGAGTTAGGGAGGATTCCCTCTTTTTCTATGGATTGGAATAGTTTCAGAAGGAATGGTACCAGCTCTTCCTGGTACCTCTGGTAGAATTCGGCTGTGAATCGGTCTTGTCCTGGACTTTTTTTGGTTGGTAAGCTATTCATTACTGCCTCAATTTCAGAGCCTGTGATTGGTCTATTCAGAGATTCCACTTCTTCCTGGTTTTGTCTTGGGAGGGTGTATGTGTCCAGGAATTTATCCATTTCTTCTAGATTTTCTAGTTTATTTGCGTAGAGGTGTTTATAGTATTCTCTGATGCTAATTTGTATTTCTGTGGGATCGGTGGTGATATCCCCTTTATCATTTTTTATTGCATCTATTTGATTCTTCTCTCTTTTCTTCTTTATTAGTCTTGCTAGCGGTCTATCAATTTTGTTGATCTTTTCAAAAAACCAGCTCCTGGATTCATTAATTTTTTGAAGGGTTTTTTGTGTCTCTATTGCCTTCAGTTCTGCTCTGTTCTTAGTTATTTCTTGCCTTCTGCTAGCTTTTGAATGTGTTTGCTCTTGCTTCTCTAGTTCTTTTAATTGTGATACTAGGGTGTCAATTTTAGATCTTTCCTTCTTTCTGTTGTGGGCATTTAGTGCTATAAATTTCCCTCTACACACTGCTTTAAATGTGTCCCAGATATTCTGGTATGTTGTGTCTTTGTTCTCATTGGTTTCAAAGAATATCTTTATTTCTGCCTTCATTTCGTTATGTACCCAGTGGTCACTCAGGAGCAGGTTTTTCAGTTTCCATGTAGTTGAGCAGTTTTGAGTGAGTTTCTTAATCCTGAGTTCTAGTTTGATTGCACTGTGGTCTGAGAGACAGTTTGTTACAATTTCTGTTCTTTTACATTTGCTGAGGAGTGCTTTACTTCCAAATATGTGGTCAATTTGGGAACAGGTGTGGTGTGGTGCTGAGAAGAATGTGTATTCTGTTGATTTGTGGTGGAGAGTTCTGTAGATATCTATTAGGTCCGCTTGGTGCAGAGCTGAGTTCAATTACTGGATATCCTTGTTAACTTTCTGTCTCGTTGATCTGTCTAATGTTGATAGTGGGGTGTTATAGTCTCCCATTATTATTGTGTGGGAGTCTAAGTCTCTTTGCAGGTCTCTAAGAACTTGCTTTATGAATCTGGGTGCTCCTGTATTGGGTGCATATATATTTAGGATAGTTAGCTCTTCTTGTTGAATTGATCCCTTTACCATTATGTAATGGTCTTCTTTGTCTCTTTTAATCTTTGTTGGTTTAAAGTCTGTTTTATCCAAGACTAGGACTGCAACTCCTGCCTTTTTTTTGTTTTCCGTTTGCTTGGTAGGTCTTCCTCCATCCCTTTATTTTGAGCCTATGTGTGAAAAAGAATAAAAAGAAATGAACAAAGTCTCCAAGAAATATGGGACTGTGTGAAAAGACCAAATCTATGTCTGACTGGTGTACCTGAAAGTGAAAAGAAGAATGGAACCAAGTTGGAAAACACTCTGCAGGATATTATCCAGGAGAACTTCCCCAACCTAGCAAGGCAGGCCAACATTCAGATTCAGGAAATACAGAGAATGCCACAAAGATACTCCTCGAGAAGAGCAACTCCAAGACACATAATTGTCAGATTCACCAAAGTTGAAATGAAGGAAAAAATGTTAAGGGCAGCCAGAGAGAAAGGTCGGGTTACCCACAAAGGGAAGCCCACCAGACTAACAGCAGATCTCTTGGCAGAAACTCTACAAGCCAGAAGAGAGTGGGGGCCAATATTCAACATTCTTAGAGACAAGAATTTTCAACCCAGAATTTCATATCCAGCCAAACTAAGCTTCATAAATGAAGGAGAAATAAAATCCTTTACAGACAAGCAAATGCTGAGAGATTTTGTCACCACCAGGCCTGTCCTACAAGAGCTCCTGAAGGAAGCACTAAACATGGAAAGGAACAACCGGTACCAGCTACTGCAAAAACATGCCAAATTGTAAAGACCATTGATGCTAGGAAGAAACTGCATCAACTAAAGAGCAAAATAACCAGCTAACATCATAACGACAGGATCAAATTCACACATAACAATATTAACCTTAAATGTAAATGAGCTAAATGCTCCAATTAAAAGACACAGACTGGCAAATTGGATAAAGAATCAAGACCCATCGGTATGCTGTATTCTGTTTTGCTTTTGAGTCTCAGATCCCAGGTCAGCCCGCATCTCGGCTCTGTGTCATTTCCTTTGTGTTTATGTGGCATTTTGTCTGTGTTGCTGTGTAGAGTAAATAAACTGTTTATATAAAGAAAAAAGAAAGAATTGTCACATGAACAAGGTCACAGCCTTAATTTAACTGCAATAAGTGCCAGAAAAATCTGTGTGAGACCACTCCAGTGAAAGAAGAAGTGACCGAAGAAAGGACAATGTAGATAGAGTCCAACTAGAAATTGTAGCGGTGAATTAAAGGGAAGTGTCACATCTTTGAAACGAATGAAAAGCTATATCTCTGAGGAAGACGATCTAGGCTTGAATGAGCCAAGAGAAGAGCTCACAAGTCCATGAGAAACACTTTAATAGATATCAGCATATAGGATCCCATTACAAAAATGATCTAGCCAACTCCAAAACAGCATAAGAACCTTTGTAAATTCAGAGAAACCTTTCTCCAAGCATCATGATGTCACTAAGTCACCTATTTCACCCACACGTCTATAAGCCCTCTTTGGTTGGAAAATGGAGAGGAGGAAGAATTCCAAAGGATTGAATATTTATAAAACTAAGCTGCTAAAAATGAACTAGAATTAATTACTATTAAATGGTCGATATAAATACATTGGCCACATGCAACAACTTGGCTGGTGACAACTGCACGTCTTATTATTTGTTCAAAATTATTCTCTTCCCACCCTGACAGTATTTTATGGTAAGAGGAGTATTGCAATCTGCCACATTGACTTTGCCTTGGCCATGGGTCTTGTTTTGTTCAACGGATATTGAACAGAACTGACATATGTCATGTCTAAGCAGAAGGTTTAAATATGCTCATATGGTTTCCTGGGACCTCTTCCTTTCTCTCCACCATGAGAACATAATGTTTCAAATAAAAGCCAGTCCTTCATCCTGCATTCTGGAAAGACAAGATATATGAAGCAAAGTCCAGCTGAGTCAGACAATCCAGATGGAGAAAAAAGTCATAACTGAATTTCAGCCTTCCTGTGACATGAGGAAGAAATAAATGCTTATTGCTAAATGCACAGAGAGACTGTTTTTGTTTATTTTCATAGCAGCATAAAAGCTGACTTATTAATTGGTTTATAAAAATATTATATGAATTATGGTTATGATTATGCAAATTACCTTTTTCAATAGAGGATCAACTCTGACAGCTAGTATCATTGGATTCTGTTATTCAAAGTGTCTCTCTCTTCTTGACAGTCATTAATCTTTGAGACATATACACTTGGATGGAGGATAGTTCCACATCTTTTCTTTTCCATTAGTCTTTTTCAGTACTTTCTGTTGCAGAAATTATCTACATTGTCATCAGCTTTCAGATATATTTGTTATACCGTTTTCACATAGCTCTATATTTTCTGTCTTTACCAGTTTGCCCAAATATGAGTGTGCCTAGCATATTCTTTTTACATAAAATAAGTCATCAGAAACCTTGAGTCTTTAGGGTATTAACATTGCCATTTGCTGGTGGCAAAATTTTTTATGGAAAATAATTTATAACATTTAAATTTTATTAACTCCAATTAATGGCAGAAAATGAGAAAAGTAAACAAAATAACTGAGTGCCTACAGGTGAAGTGGTTCTCTGCTGATAACTATTGAAATATTGGCATTAAATTTTCACCCTAAAATGGGATAATAGTCAATGTGATCTATTTAAAAACTATATAGGATCATGACTTCATAATTAAATTAAATATAATTCTATTGCATTCAAATTTGTAAATTGACTTATTCAGCCAATTCCTCATTATTTGCTGCTACAGTCATTTGAGTTAATTAGGTAAAAAGTCAACGAGATGCTACCATTGATTTAATAAAATCTTTGAAGACATTTTTTATTGCTAGATTGCTATGGCAGAATATTTACCTCAGAAAAATTCCTTCATGTGACTCTGTGAACGAGGTATACCACGTATGTCTCTTAATGTTTATAATACTGGGAGAGAACATAAATAACTGAATTATTTCTTCAACTACTAGACATCAACCACTGGATTTGGATCCACTGCACTCTAAAGGAGGCCATTTTGCCATCAGACCTTAACATTCTCTTAGGTACCTAATACACCAACATTGACAGAGATATTAGCAATACAGGACTTGTATAGCAAGTTTAACATTGTTTAAAAGATAATGTCATATTTATAAATTGAGCTTAAACTCTTGCTAAACAATCTTAGGCATCCTTAAATTCATCAGAGTGGTTAAAAATAACATCAAGATAACAACAATATTCTATAGCGAACCTATAAATGCCCAACTTCTAATTTTCATGGGAAGTTTTACTCTTCGGATAATGCTACTTGGGCTTCTAAATACTGAAACACAGAAAACTCTGCATAATGAAGGGATAAATATCACAGCAGTGAAACAAATGAGGTCTTGATTTCTCCTTTTATTGCAATGCCCTGAATTTTGTTTATATATAAAAAATAAAAATGGCTCTCTAATTTTTCCCCTTTAAAAAACGTTATGTGGAAACACTTAAGTACAAACTTTTTTTCATGACTACATTTTAATGTGACATCGGCCTACCTCTTCCACACAACAGAGTGTTCATTAAAGTCTGCAAGATGCTGCAGCAAAGGTCTTCTGTCAAGGTTTCTGTGCATTTCCCCTTTGGTTTCACATTTTTAATTGGTTTAACCAAAAAGAACATAATCTCTACCTCGTAACAGGAAGATATCCAAGTTTCATATTAGTTTTCTTATCTCTAGTGGCTATCTCCAGCAATACAGAATACTAACAAACAAAAATCTAAGGACCTCAGTGACTAGCAAAAAGAGAAAGAAAATCATTTTTGGAAAGTTTTACTACCAGACCACATGGTTCCACGCAATTTTCTCTGGTGTGGTCTCAAACATATTGTTAAGAAGACTTCCAATGAGTTGAGGATTTTTTTTGTTAAGGCACTATATTGTCAAGCTGTTAGAGTAATGCAGCTGGGTCTAAAATTTTTGGCTTTTTAGTCAAAGCTGAACAGTGTCCATAGATTTTTCTGAGCCACTTCCAACATACAGTAGCAGCTGCTGTGTTTATGTGCAATACCACTGTGCAAGCGGCAATTAAACTACAAAATTCTAGATACGTAGTTGGGAAGCAGCAGGCAGTCAGCACACAACTGGCACTGAGCTAAAACAGAAAAGATTCTTACTTTTGAAATGTAAGTCAAGCTAACAAACCCACGTTGCTGTGTACAGAAAATGGTGAGTAACAACAAATGCTACTTGATAAAAGAGGACAAGAATCTTCTGCGTAAAATATAAATTTTGTTTTCATATTTTCCACATGTGGCTTCAAAAAATAATTACAAGCAACATGACTTCTTTTGATATGTTATAAAATAATTAATATTTAAGATACACTTCTTATAATAAGGTATTACTTGAGTGTATATCCTCCATGTGCAAAATCCTAATAGTCATTTTATTAGGGAAAATGATTTTTAAATAATTACAGATTTTCCTTTTGACGTTGGGGGCATATGAATAAGGATGCCAAAATATCTCAGATGAAAAAAAGGCAATTATTGTCACAGGAATTTCACTTTCTGCGTACTTCCTATCCTGCAAGTTTTAGATACAGTGTAAAAACTGCCTGAAAAACTAAATTTAGTGGACATCACATTTCAGCATCTGTCATTAACCCCAAATGGGATATTTTCTCTGTGATTGACTGCTTTCTGGGATATTAACTGGAACAACGTCAGGTGAGCCTGGTTACCCTTCATTAATGTAGTGTCCAAAGTTATAATTTTCCATATATGTTTAAATAAATCTTTTCGTGCTTTAAGGAGAGTATGCCATCTTGCCATATTTGGGAAAAATAATTTACTTTTATAATTTATTGGCTTATTAAAGGATATAAAATAAACTGTTGATTTAATTCATACTTATTCCATCGTCTAATGAAAGAAACCTTAAATACAAATATCAGAGATGTTGTGTTTGTGTATTAATGTAACACAAAACAAACAAAAACCACTTGGTCTCTTTCCGATATTTCAAACACTCCTGGAATTTCAGTTATTATTTCTATCTGTATCTCTTTTCACTTCAGACACTCCATAATATCATTGAATTGCCCTGTTTCTAGCATCAACACTAACAGGGAGGTAAAATATAGGATATCTACCTGAAAAGATTCCAAAAGAGCTGAAATTTGATCCTATCTAAATAACTCATTAATTGTAAAACCTTGAGTGGTCATTTAAGCCTGATTAAATTTGGCAATTTTTAAATAATTAAACCTATGACGCTCTAAAGAGTGTGTAAGACAATTTCTCAAAGTGGGGTACAATTACCCTATGGGGCATTGTGGATGTGGCTGGAGCAATACCAGATCAATTGCAAGGCACTCCTCATCGTTAGAGGCCACGCCTTCCTGTTTACTGCTGTCTTCCATTCCCCCACTTCATGTCTGCCATGGAGTAGGTACTCAATACATGTTTGATAAATAGAGATTGAAGCATTTCAAATTTGGAGAGTGCCAATTTAACAAAATGTTATGTAGTTGCAAAAGATTTTTTTTTTTTATAAAATGGCATTGACATATTATTTAGTAAATTGCAATATATGAATATTTATTTTTTGAGACAGAGTCTAACCCTGCTGCCGATGCTGGAGTGCAATGGCTATCTCAGCTCACTGCAACCTCCGCCTCCCGGGTTCAAATGATTCTCCTGCCTCAGCTTCCCGAATAGCTGGGATTACAGGCACCCACCACCACATTCAGCTAATTTTTGTATTTTTAGTAGAGATGGGGTTTCACCACGTTGGCCAAGCTGGTGTCGAACTCCTGACCTCGTGATCCACCCAAATCGGCCTCCCAGAGTGCTGGGATTACAGGTGTGAGCCACCGCACCCGGCCAAATTATTTTATTTTATTTTGTTTATTTTTCATTTATAGTGATTCCAATTGTCATGCCTCGTAAGACATTTAAGAAATGGAAGTTTACACTTGGGATGGGGATTGCTAATTTGGCCCTCAAAATACATTTATCTGTTCTTTTATATTAATCCTTTTAAGTGAGCTGCCCGTTTAGCAACCAAGTGTTTCAATCTTCATGTTATGGAAGGCTGTTTGTGTTGACCAATATGCAGAGCTCCTCTTTTTCGTGGGACACACGTAAACTACATTCACTGAGCCCCCTTACATCCCAGTGCCACCATGTAATGTGTCTGGGACATTGGAATTGACATATACCAATTTCCAGCCTAACCTTGGAAATGGCCCATGAAAATGTCCTCCCACTCCTGCTCATTGCTCAATTAGATACCAGGAATTCATGTAAGACCCCAAGACTCTAAGTGGAAGTAGAAACACTATACAGAGCATCTGTGTCTCTGAATGATTACATGGAGGAGAACCTTTCAGAAGACCTATATAAATGAGAACACATGCCTTTGTTTGAGCAGGGAATAAAACTTCACTCTATTAAACTAACTGGGATATTGAGATTTCTTTATTCCTGCAAAGAAGCTTAGCCTACCCTAAATAAAGCAAATTTGTACCCAGAAATGGGGAGCTGGGATATCAAATTATTATGTGTCATTGGCTTAATGTTAAGGTGTGGAAGATAAGGAATTTTATATTGAAACTTGCAAAGATATAGGTTATGTGTCAGGAAAACTTTTGATAAAATCATCAACTTTGACAGCATAAAAGGGCTAGGTATATGCCATTGTGCTGGAAGCCATAAGCCAAGAAGTTGGAAAATAATGCCACAGTTGTAGGTGTTGGCTAGAATTCACTATTTTTGGAAAAATATGATGAGAAAGATGAGTTTGGAAAATAATTGAATGATTTATAAGTAGGAAAATACATAGATTATAAAGCTTCCATAAATTCTTGAACTTTCAGAGTTAGAATATCATATTGTTCTTACACTTCAAATAGTTGAAATGAAAAATTTAAGTCTTTGAGGCTGGGCACAGCGGCTCACGCCTGTAATCCCAGCACTTCAGGAAGCTGAGGTGGGAAGATCGCTTGAGGCCAGGAATTTGAGACTTGCTTGGGCAACATAGTGAGACACCGTCACTACAAAAAATACAAAAATCAGCTGGGCATGGTGATGTGTGCCTGTAGTTGAAACTACCTGGAAGGGATACCTTGAGCCCAGGAGGTCGAGGCTGCAGTGAGCTATGATAGCACCACCACACACTCTAGCCTGCGTAAAGGAGTGAGAACCAGACTCCAAAAATAGTCTTGGATAGCACAGGACTAGTAACATTTCTCATTGAACAATGTAATCAAGACATACGGTGGTATGATCTGGAGAAAGTGGCACTGGAACAAGAAAGAAATGAAATAAAACATATTTGAAAGTTATGTCTAAGAAAGAAATGTTGGATTGGTTAGTAGCATTGAAAGGATTAGAAGAGACTGTTTTGAGAGGACTGCATTGCCTAAGAAATGAGGAGCCCACGCTAAAATAAAAATGTCTCTTAGGTCAGGCGCGGTGGCTCATGCCTGTAATCCTAGCACTTTGGGAAGCTGAGGTGGGTGGACTGCTTGTGGCCAGGAGTTTGAGACCAGCCTAGCCAACGTGGCGAAACCGTGTCTCTACTAAAAATACAAAAATTAGCCAGGCATGGTGGTGGTGGTACGTGCCTGTAGTCCCAGCTACTTGGGAGGCTGAGACAGGAGAGTCCCTTGAACGCAGGAGAAGGAGGCTGCAGTGAGCAGTGATCATGCCACTGCACTCTAGCCTGGGGGACAAGAGTGAGACGCCATCTCAAAGAAAAAAATGTCTTTCGATTATGACACTCAGAGTCATCAGGCTCCAGCCTTACAAAGGCAGGAGTGGGCTGTGAAAATGAAGAGGCTGCTGACACCCAAGGTGTGAAGCAGCCCCTCACTACTGCTGAGGAGGGATGGATATGCTGGTTTTCTCGCAGGCTTCTGCTGATACCACCCTACTGGGCACCTTATTGCCGATACTATGGAGTCAGCAGTTGCCTTGTTATCTCTAGCTAGAGATGAAAGCCCTGAGCCTCCTTTCCACATGCCTCCTCTGATACGACCCACTTATAATGATAAGCTTCACTATATTCTTGATACCTAGGAAACAGTTCAATGGGAATATTTTCTACTATAATATAAATTTGTCAATTTCTTCCTGTCATTCTGTCAAATAATACGCAATGAGGTGTATTTCAATTTAACATTATATTATTTTTCCTGGTAATTTTTTTTTATCATAATGAAGGTAGTGACCTTCATGAGATACTACCCACTTGGAGTAGGTGGCACCTTGTTCCTGCCGGGTGGAGCGTGGACGTCCAGGTCCTCCGTGTAGTCTCCGACACTGTGGAAAATGATTTCTAGTTGCCCTGGCAGGGCTGAATGTCCCAGTTCCCTATTCAGCCTACCCTGAGACCACCTTAGTGGTGGATGGTGGTATTTGGGTCACCTCATTACAACTTGGGAAGTGTGGAAGTCCAGGATCCCCAGGCAGCCTTTGTGGGTGTGGAAGAGGGGTAAGGGTTGAGGTCACATTTTGTTTTCTGTGTTTTCTGTGGCTAGAGTTGGGCAGTATTGACTGTACATTTTCTGCATGGCTATGCTTCCATTTTCTGGTCAGCTGGCTAGAGACAGCAAGCTTTATCGGAGCCTAAATTGGCATTTCTGGGTCGTCAGCTTCTCCTGCACACAGTCTGGGGCACAGGAGGCAAAATGAAAGCTCAGAGCACTCACCAGCACATCATCTTTGGCTGCCGAGGTCCCTGGCTGGTCTGCCATCTTCCCTCCACTTTTAGAGTCCTCTTAAACACTATAACATATTAAGTATTTTTAGTTGAACTTAAGTAAAGATATAGGGAAAAGTACATCTATCTCATCTTTCTAGAAATAGAAGTTCTATAATTTTAAAAGTATTATCATATATAGTGTTATTAATATCAAAATGTTTGAGGTCAGAAAAATTGTAATATGAGTAAGTTATTTTACAACTGAGACATGTCAACATGACAATCTAGAATTGTCAAGTCGATTGTTAGAAGAAGGTTCTCAAGGCTGGGGATTTATTGCATCCTACATTGCTTCAAGCTTAACATAGAATTTTCCAACCCATGAAGCTTCACTATATTCTTGATACCTAGGAAACAGTTCAATTGGAATATTTTCTACTATAATATAAATTTGTCAATTTCTTCTTGTCATTCTGTCAAATAATATGCAATGAGGTGTATTTCAATTTAACATTATATTCTTTTTCCTGGTAGTTTTTTTTTAAATCATAATGAGGTAATGACCTTCATTAGCCTTATTTTTTTTATTTAACATTCTTCAATCTTCTGTGTTAATACAGCAGCATTAACTCTGTTTCTTAACTTTTAAATTTCAATCTTTTTGTGTTCTTGTAAGTGGTGTATAGCTGGATTTGGAGAAAAAAATCTAAAGGTATTATCTTCTTTGTAACTGGTGAGCTGCTATCATTTTGGATATTTTTTTATTTGTTACTTCCATCCACTTTTCCCACTGTCCTTAACCCTGCTTTTTCTCTTTTTTTTCCATCTTACCTTCCTTGTAATTGATTGGGGTTAGCATCCTCCTTTTTACTGCCTTTATTTTGAACAACTGATACCATATTTCTATTTCATAGTGATTCACTTTAAATTGCTGTTATTTAAATTTAACTTTTATTATTATTATTATTTTTCGAGATGGAATCTCCCTCTTGTTGCCTAGGCTGGAGTGCCATGGCATGATCTTGGCTCACTGCAACCTCCACCTCCCAGGTTCAAGCAATTCTCCTGCCTCAGCCTCCTAAGTAGCTGGGATTACAGGTGCCCACCACCACGCCCAGCTAATTTGTGTGTGTGTGTGTGTGTGTGTGTGTGTGTGTGTGTGTGTGTGTAATTTTAGTTAAGAAGGGGTTTCACCATGTTGGCCAGGCTGGTCTCAAACTCCTGACCTCAGGTGATCCGTCTGCCTCAGTCTTCCAAAGTGCTGGGATTACAGGAGTGAGCCACTGCACCCAGGCTAAATTTAACTTTTAAAAGCAAATATCACCATTATGCTTGTTGAAAATAATTGGGGATCTTAGACTCCTTCAATTCAGACTACCAACTTCTGTGGTACATGCTGCATATTTCAGCATTATAATTCTACCCATTGCATATTCATCATATTAGTCATTTTCTTATTGTTACTTCTGCCTCCCCATGTCAATTTTTCCTCTTGAATCTTTCATTTAGGATCCATGTTTTTTCCCAAATACTTCATCACTATTTTCCAGTTTTATAGTATTAGAAATAATTTCCCTTAGTCTTTTTCGAAAGTGACTTTATTTCATGAACTGTTGTTGAGTCATGGTTTCATTGCACAAAATTATACTATTTTTTTCTACTGTCAGCAATTTGAAAATGTTAGAATAGTTTGTACCATACATAAATTTAAGCATACTCAATATTATGTGGCACATTACACTACCTCACTGTATTTCTGTGTGTTTTTGAGAATGTTGTAATTTAAAAGAAGTTCACTCCACAGCCACCTAATTCCTCTGACTTGAGTTATATTCAAGTGTCTCAAAATGTGACACAGACATTATCTTGCTACTTGCCATGCCCTTACCATTGACATTGAAGAGTGGTACAAATGCAGTCACTCATCCATCTCCTTGCTCTAATTCATCCTAGGTCAACTGAAAAAGTGTTTGATGACAACTTGCAGCATAGAGACAGAGAAGACACACGGGCATATGCTTTGGACTACAAAATCCCTAAAGTGTCCTTCCAAATGTTAAATGAGGATTCTATAAAAGAAGCAACAATGTTGATTATTTAATTATAGTATTGAAAGAAGTGCTATAGTGAGTCAACTTGGCTCACAATACAAGACACTTGAAGACTAGAGCATGCTCTTGGGTTCTTAATAAACTGTGATCTGTTTGTACCTCCAGGTGAACATGGTTGTTTTGACCTTATTGAAGTTTACACCTTTACCTGTTAGTGTCCTTTATCTTCTAACATCTATTGTTGCCTTTGAAAAATCTGTTGGGAATTTTCTAAGTCTGATCATTCGTAAGGTAACTTTTCTTTTTAGGTTATGGGTTGTTTTTCTTATCCCTTATCTTTTTCTTTCTTCTCTGCCTTTTACTGGTATATATCTAGAAATATATTTTAAAATACTTTTCCAGACTTCATAAGTTTTTATAATATGAGATTATATGTTTCATCAACTCTGAAATATCCTCAGTCATTCTTTTCTTTGAATACTGTCTTCCTAATTCTCTTTATTGTATCCTTCTGGAATTCTTTTCCAAAGATTCTCTGGACATTCTCATTTCTTCTCCATGTCTCTCCAATTTTCTTATATTTTCTTTATTTCTCGATCTTTCCTTCTAAGCAAAGCTTGTGAAAATTAATGCTATTCTCTTTCATGGGCTCTTACCCTGGGATGTCAGTTATATAGAAAAAAAAAGCAATATTCAAGAACGAGAATCTATTCTTGGTCTTTGGAGATCAAGTCAGTGTTAATTTAAATATGAGTTTATTGGCCCTATTTTCCTTCAGATTTAGAGGGATCTGTGATTCTTTTCAATGCTGCAGCAATGTGTAACTTTCCTAGCCGGAAAACAGTGCACTTTTCCCTGAAAATGATAACTCAACTCTCCATAATGTCTCTTTCTAGTATCAAAATTACATGGTATATAAGTTCCACAGAAGGGTAAATATGTAAGTAATAGCATACAATCTTAATGATTTTAATCTTATTGAAACACTTATACAAGTTAAAATTTTAGTTTTGCTCTTGCTTGTAATTTTGTGGCAAATTTTCTCCATTTTTTTCTAGATTTGAATGGAATTTAAAAATATCCCTAAACTGTTACTTTATGATTAAGAATATGATCATTGAGGGCAAACAAGAAGAGATGATTTTACACTATTGTCATGAGGCAATTTTTCAAAAGACAATTTTTAATGAATCAGCAATTGCTGTTTTGATACTATAAAAGATGCAATGTTTAAGATATAACTCGCTTTTCAGGAAGTTCATGAGGACCTTCAATTAATACAGTAAGAACAAACTAATAAGACATAAGATGTTTAGGAAAAGAAATATGCCTCTTGAGTTCTCATCAGATATACTTTTAACAGAGTTACAAAAAAAGAAAACCTTAAATTCCTTCATGTGCATAATGAAACACTAACGATGTTATCCTTGAGAAGATATTTTTTCTGTGGAATGTATCCATATGGCCTTCAAATTCTTGAACACCCTACAATGACATTCTAATCGAAGAACAACAGAAGAGAGGTCAAAGAAAATAAAGCTTTAAATAGTCCAAGAAATTTCCCACATTTTAACCTTCATCTGTAGCCTCCATTTTTTTACCCCTTCTCTCAGTTTCCCCATACAAGTTTATCTGAGGGTTTTTCCCCACTGCTTCCCACCTTTTTCCTCTTCTGCTTTATCCTGTTTAAGCTACAATGTCTAATGTCTACAGTTCTGGGTACATATTGTGAGACATATATATGTTGATTTTTCTTTCACAGTGCAAAGTATCTAAATAGAAGAAGCTATTTTTGCAGGAATGATATGGCCTTTTGCTTTCTGTTCCCTGGTCAACTCAAAGTAAAGATAGAGAGCTCCATTAAATCTCTTTTTAATCGTGTAAGTGCCCTGATGCAATTGTCTCACAATACAAAACCATTATGTTAGACATAAATTAAGGCATACACAAGACATTACAATGGTATTTAAAGTGAAATATTTATGAAGTGATTTAAATACTAATGACACAGCATTCCTAAAGGAGTCCTAAAGGATAAGAACATTCCACACCAGCATTTTAGTCCCTCAGTCTGTTGCATGTTGCATATATTGTTTCTCATTACTCAAGTTTGTAGAAATGTAACCAGGAGATAGAAGAGAAAAAGAGCTTGTGGGGAATGAAGAATTATATTTGAAGGACATGCCCTCTCTTTTTACCCTTGAATATTAATACCAAGTCCGACTTTACATGGTTTACATAAGAAGCTCCTTAGCTCCTTGTGCAGTAATTCCAACTATCCCAGACACAGTCTTCACCTTTATATTGGAAAGAATGTTTCCTGCTCTAGATGACTGTAAACAAACCAGCTTAATCCTGCCGTTCTTCAAATCCAACTTATTTGCAGCTCTCTATCCTGCCGTTCTTAGGACGCTGGTAATCAAGTTCCTCATTATTGAGTTCTAGTCGTCACATGCAGAAACTACAATGTCCAGAAAAGACAAACACATTCCTTTCTGTATGTACCTGTTTTATCAATGAGAAAATCTTTCCCAGATGCCCTCCAGCAGACCTCACCTGATTCCCATTGGCTAGGTTTAGGTCACATGTGCATGTGATCTTATCCAGTAATGATCCAACTCCTAGTGGGACGGTTTTCCTGTGCACATGGATCAGTAGATGGCAATTAATCACACAAAACCAGGACTATTGCCAATAAAAAGAAGAGGGCTGGGGAGGCTTCTAATCAGAAACCTGACTATACCTGCCATAACCCCCGAGCATTTTTCTAAAATTAAGTAAAATAATCCAAAAGAGAAAATAGAAATTCATAAAACTTAATTAATACTATTTCCACCATTGGTCACTGTATAGTCTCCTAAGGCATTACTGTTCATTTATTCTTTATTTACTCACAGCTCTAACATGTGGTAAATTGATGTCTTAAAACTTTTAACATTTGAAACAGCAATATGAAGATGAGATGAAACAGACTAAAGCAAACATCTTACTGTACCAAATAAAATTGGATCAAATTTACAAGCCCAGATTAAAATGTTAACAAAGAAATAATATAACAAAAGGGTCATTTTGCACAGGACAGGGATGAATGTTGCTTTGTACTGCAATAGCTCTTTAGCTATCACTGCATAAAAATCAAATGTAATGTTCGATGCTCTAGATAATACTTCTAAAATATATAGAGATATATATTTCAGTCAGTTTTGAACATTGTTTTGAACATTGTGATAAAGAAGGGAGAGCAAATTTCAAGACTAAATATTACAAGAAGATATAATTTAATGTTTAAATTTGAAGGAAAAAACTACATTTTATTGGATAACTCCTCACTGCTTGGTTGATGATCTCATTTAAAATATGTGTATTGTGACTAAAATATAAAGCAGACAAAATCTACCACTGGGACTACTTTAAGAGTATGTGAGTAGACATACTTCATTAATGAATGCTACTACACTTAGTAATTAAAAAATGAAAACAAAAAAGATGTAATATTTTGATGTGATTCTCTTTAAATATTTTCATGTATGCTATTATGCTTAGTAAATCAAAATGAAAATGAAAAGAAAAAATGTAATATTTTGATGTGATTCTTTTTAAATTGGTTGTTTTAGCTTTCATTTAAATGAAATGTTTTCGATACTGAAAAACAAAGATTTTCTCTAAGCAATATAATTAAATTCATAAGATAAATAATTTCAATAATTATCTCTTAAAATATCAACATCTCATATTTCAGAGCTCTCGCATTTTAGAGATTGAATATTGTAAATGTAACTATGCAAATCGACTTAAGTATTAAAAACAGTATCAAAAATAGTAAGATCTTCAAGGTATGATAGGTTACGTTCTCTGGATAACAAAATTATTGTTTTAAATGACTGACTAGAAAAAGGGTTAATATTTGCATTACATAAACAGAAGATGCCATTAAATCATTTTCATATTATTATTTGAATGAAGTCAGAGTATATATAAATTGAAACTCCCTGAAAGAAGGCTGTGTTGGGACACTGAGAATGTGGCCCAACCAAAACTTATGTGAAGAAAGTGATTGAATGCTCCTGTAGAACTATTCAAGTAGTTAATATCCTACATCAGTACATCTGAAGAATATTTTTGTCTATCTAACTTCACTGATCATTGGCAGAACTTAAAACAGTTACTCTGTTAATGTTAAAAAGATAAAAGATCTGAAGTCAATTTTGAGCTAAATAATTCATTGGTGTGGCTGAGTTACTCATGATTTTTGATTCTTTAGTTTTGTTTTTGTTTTTTCTTTTCTCTCTTGACAGCAAAAGGAGTGGGTTGAGCTAACTGGTCTCTCTTCTGCTTTGTCTTACACTGTATTTGAATGTTTTAGTTATTTTGTTAGAGCTCAAACATTCAAAGACAGTGTAAGAAAAACAGAAGGTCTAAACATTAGTCATGTTATACATAGATATTTATGCAATATCTACATGTATTTAGAACTGAATAAGGCTTGTAAGTTTTTATTCCATATCACTTATTTATTGGGATTCATTATGAATATCTGATAAATTAGTTAATAACTAGTTAAGAAAAGAATAAAAGAATTTTAAAATCTAGTCTATCAACTGTGAAGAAGAAAAAGAAAAATATACGGCTGATCTATATCCTTTTGAAGTTAGTATGCAGGAAAAAACTTTAAACTCCAAAATATCCTTACCAGGAGAAATCTATTAAGTCACAATATATTGTATGTATGTCAATCTCTCTATACATTATCGGTCTAAGCAATGCCTTGTAACTTGTTGGAATTATGCATATATGTTTTCAAATATACCATTTCTTCTGCCATTCAAAATGAGACTTTAATGTAGTTAGTAATTCTTCTCCCCATACAGAGAAATACTATTAGGCTGAAATCATGTAAATGCCTTATCCAATGTTAAGTTGCTCCCTCCTTCTATAGTATTTCGAATTAGGAAGTGATAGTATTTGTGCAATTTATGATTAAATCCAATCATTGAATACAAGCCATATACCTCAAGGCAAAGAACAGAGAAAAAATAAGTTATAAATTGTTTTCCATTTGACCTGCAGAATTATAAGGTAATGAAAGAGCAAACTCATTAAGAGATCACTTTATATAAGAGACAGGACTGTGCACTTTACATTAATAATCTAATTCTTATAACAGAATCTAGGAAATAGGCATCATCATTTTCCGCATTTTACAGATAAGATATCTAAGATTCAGAGAGGCTGTGATATTAACTTCCTTAGGGTTATATAGTAAGTCAGGTAGATTTTACCTTTTCAAGAAAGTTCATTGTTTACTCTAACTTTAGATTTAGAAAATTGCAATTTATAATCGGATAGGCCACACAAGTGCATTTTTAAGGGTCTAGAACCCTTACCATATTTCTGAAGGAAATCCATGATGTATATGTAGATATAAATATAGATATGGATATAGATATACTGAGAGTGAGGGAGAAAGGTGGGAGAGAAAGAAGAAGGGAGGAAGAAGGAGCAGGGAGAGAAAGGAGAGAGAGAAATGAGAAAGGCAGAGAAGTAACAGGAAGAAAAGAGAAGGGAAGGCAAGGGGAGGAGAGGAAGGGAGAGAAAGAAAACGGGAAAGGAGAGGAAGGGGAAAAGACAGAAAAAAAAGGAGGGGATGAAAGCAGATGACTAATATGGAATTTTCACGTGCAAAAAGGAAGAAAAAGTCACATGGTGAAGAAAACATAGAGTAGATTTGGAACAGGAAAATTGTAACTCAGTGTCAGGGAAGCCCAGAAAGTACAGCTATTTCTGAAATGAAGACATCTAGACCTTTACATGGTTACATTTGTTTCTTAATTTGTTTCAGTCTAGAGCATTTCTTTTCAGTTTCTTTAATTCTTTTGCATATTTTCAGCATTAAATATTTCCTAACACTTTTCAGCATTAAATATTTCCTAACATTTTGCCTCTATTTTCCCCTGCTACTCTTCTGTTTTGAAAACTTTCAAAGCGCCCTTATAGACTGACAGAATAAACTCCAAATGACTTAGCTTGCATTTGAAGACCTTCAAAATCTGCCTCAAACTATTTTTTAGTTAGATCCCAGGACTGTTTATCACTAGGACCGAATAAATAGAACATTTTTATATATTTCCAAAAACATAGCACATTTTGAAAATTTCAAAAATTATTTATATTTTAAAAATATTCTTAGTTTCATAAATTTTTATTTTAAAAAATACACTTATCACAATGAGAAAATGTTATCTCCGGAAGTAGTGTGTCATATTTTCAGTAAATAGACAGATTTAATTAATCCAGATAAAGGAGAGATAAGGGTACAGCTCCTTTGTAATTTTAGATTCACCACAGAATAGCTCAAAGGTTTATGCTCAATGAATAATGAACTTTGTATTTTGCCTCTTTTGAGATCTCAATACTGGTAGGAAACTATATTCTATGGATCCATTTCTTATGTTTTAAATTCGTATGCACATGATCTTATTTTATCATGGGTTGTTGGCAAAATAAAAGAAATCTACGGCTCTTCATACTCTTCCTGCAAAAATGCTCTTGAAACAGCTGCAGAATACCAATAATTATCTTGGTCAGTTCCAGTGTAGCAAAGTCAGGCAGCTAGCATTTATCTCCTTGGCTAACAAGTAGCCTGCATAATGAAATGTAAAATAGAGTTGCTCTCTCTTACACCCAAGACTGGCTCATCCTCTTTGCCTGGATAAAAAGGAACTTTCAAGTACAAACAGCTGAGGGTTTGTCACAGCTGTAGAACAACAACTCTGGTGGATACTAAACCACGCTCCAACCACAGATTTTCATTTAAATATAGCTGCAAAAATTGACATCTGACGATATGGACAAAAGATTTCAAATAATCTATATTAAACCCTATTGAAATCCATCTGTTACCAGGTGTTATAATGAAAATATTTCTGTAAAATTTCTTAGATAATATGATAATATAATACTTTTTGAAAAATACTTCTTTTCTATAAACATGTTGATGTCAAATAAAATATTCTGAAGTTTTGCTCTTCAGAAGAACTCTTGTCCATGCTAAAACAAGCTGATAAAATATCAGCACAAATTATATTTCTGTGAGGCAGTATAAGCAATTGAAGGGAATCAGGTATTGACTGGCTGCAGAAAGCACAGACACAATTATCTTAGGGAAACCGTACATTGATACAGAGTCCCGAAAAGAATGCAGGCATGGAATGGAGTGAGGGGGATAAAAATATAATAGTTCCTTTTCAGTGGCTTTGGGTAAAAGTTACATAGCATTGTTGAAGAAACCCTTGGCTTTTCTACATTCTGTGGAATACAGTACCCTGCACTTGGGGACAAAGGAAGGAAAAAAAAGCATAGATTTTGTCCTTATGGGATTTACAACTGTATTAAAGAAGCCAAGTTTTTCATTTAAGAATATATTTATCTATATTAAAGAATAAAATAGATAGTAAATGAAAATCAGCTACCATATAACAGGAATTATATATTTTAATTTTATACATATATAATTAGTGAGGAATAACAGATTGTCAAACTGATTCCTTAAAGGAGGCAAACCTTGAACCTAATTATGAACATGAGTAGGCCCTGTTCCTCTGATTGTATCTGCTATGCCTTTCCCCCTTGCTCTCCAGGTTCCAGCCTCATTTGTTCTTGACTCTGTGTGCCATGGGTAACCCAGGAGCTGAGACAAAGGCCCTTGAAGTAATCAGACTTCTCAGGAGAGAGCACTGCTCAGCTATGGCTGGTATCTTTAAAAGGATTTAAAAGGATTTTTAAAAGCTGGCTCTAGGAGTGCAGAAGAAAGCTGGAGTGTTGAAACTTACCTATTGTTGCTCACATCACCCCTCCAATTATCTCTATTGAGAATCAGAAAATCAAAACTCAGATAGGTTAAGCAGCTTGCCCAGGGCCCTAGACTAAGTTCCAAACACCAGCCGTCGAGTTCCCTGGTTTACACTCAATCATGCTAGGCTAGATGTGTGGTTTTTCTAAACACATGCCATATAAGCTTTCTTGTATTGTCACATCTCAGATAGTTATTGATATCTGTGATATTAGATGTTATCTTGGGAATAGAGAGAGGATGAGTGCTATAATTGTCCCTAATACATTTCACCACTACATTTTAGCATTTCTCACAAGACAGTTGTTAGTAACCGTCGGACTTTGGAATAAAGTGCTACCTGAATCAAGAGTTAGTGCAATGCTGAAGGCTTTGACTTAAGACTGTCAGGTCAGAAAGGTATTTTTTGTCAAATTATTATAATAGTGCTCCAAACTTAAAAAGAAGCTAATTTACTTCCAATGAGAAGCTGAAGCCATATTTGTTACAACTGTTAATTGCTTTTTTAACCCTTTAGTAAATCATTAGTATGGATTTAGGCTATTCACAAATCAGGAACTAAATTGCAATTCAGGGAGTTACTGCCAGAAATGTGTCTCAGTTATAAAAATAAATACAATTTTCATTACAGGAAAAAACATGTTTATAATTCTACATTTAAAAAATAAGAGAAGTGAATAAGGTGACCTTAATTTAAATGCTATAAATAATACCAACATGGACTGACATGACATCCCATAATACCTTTATGCAATTTTTTCTTATATTATTAATGTTTTTTGTGTGTATATGTATGGTGTAGATAAGGATAATTTTAGTCTCAACTTTGAAAAGCATTGAAAATGAGATTTATTGACCATACTTTATGTTATGTCTACATTCACAAAAGGTGAAAATTACTTCATAAAATCTAATCTCTACTTATTCTCTCTTGATCCCTATTTATCTCTGTTATGGTAGGATGCTTTCACATTGGATGATTATAAATACTTAATAGCAGCTTTTAGGCAAGTTATTTTGAATTTGTAGCATACATTTTGTAAAATACCTGAGCATTAAGCCAATAAAGCATGCTTCACTTCTAATAAATAATTAACCGATGTTATAGGTAAACTTAGTAATCAACTATTTAAATTATTAATAAATAGTAGATTAATGGATTTACACATTAATACAGTCATCCCACTCTATTACTTACTCCTTCCAATGTTATATGTATTTGTCTCAGCCCATTAAATGCTTGTAAATGAAGAATACATATATATATAATTCCATGTTTTGTACATCAAATTACTTATTAAATATATGTGTAATATATTTAAATTATTGTTTAAGAAACTTTCAACCTATATTTTATAAATGTTTTCTTTTTTTCAATACTTTGCACATTAAAGATTCAATAACGTGTGGGTTAGGGAAACCCTATAATAATAAAGAGAATACAATGAATTTATATAGCATTTTTTATAAGATGCTCACAGTACTTTCAGTATATTATCTCATTTGTCCTCACTGACTTTTATTAAAAAATTGTGGGGGTGACATCTCATTTATTCTCGCAACATGTTTATTGAAAAGCTTTTGTATTTCTCCTGTAAACTAGTAAGTTTTGTTACCCTTGAAAACCAATTTTTGTCAATATTGTTGGATAGATTGACCAGTTTTCAATCAATATTTTTACATAAATATACATACCATGTCAGAAACAGGAAGCAATTAAAAAGTAACTGTTTTGACGCTATGTCTTTCTGTTCTTAAAATTTTTCTTCTCTTTCATTTAGCATCTTCACTCTTTCTCTAAATAGTTGCCAACATAATCTGAAATACAGTGTACTTCTCTATCAGCCCGAATATATTCTTTAACCTACCCCATTTTCCTCTTTTCATCTTTCAAAGCCCTTCCTCCAGAAGATAAATATCTTTTGGTAAGGAGTCTATTCCTGTACGGTATTCTCCTCAGCCCTCTACAAAAGCTTACATCATCTGTTCTTGTTTTGCTGTACATCTTTCTATTCTGATTAATTTCCTTGGTAATGAACTTGAACATTTCTATCAATTTCAGATGCAGAAAAGAAGCCTAAAAATCAGTTATTTCTTTGCCAGTTTTTTAAAAAATAATTTTTAAAAACATTACATTTATCCCCCATGGAACATTTACCTCTACTCATATCCAGGTTTTTGTATCTATTTATCTCTCTCCTGACTTTATTAGTAATTATTTCCAATAATTGAAATTATTTATTATGTACTTTGGATAAATAAATGTGTCCTGAACTCGTAAATTCTTTGAGGAGATAAATTCTCTTCAAAAATGTTTAATTCTTATTCTTGCAAATATTCTCAATATACAAGGTTTTTGTTTTGTTTTATTTTGTTTTGTTTTTGAAAAAGTTTCTCGCTGTCGGCCAGGCTGGAGTGCAATGGCACCATCTCGGCTCACTGCAACCTCCACCTCCCAGGTTCAAGCGATTCTCCGGCCTCAGCCTTCTGAGTAGGTGGGATTACAGCCACTCACCACTACACCCAGCTAATTTTTTGTATTTTTAGTAGGGGTTTCACCATGTTGACCTAGACCAGTCTTGAACTCCTGACCTCAAGTGATCCACCCGCTTTGGCCTCCCAAAGTGCTGGGATTACAGGTGTGAGCCACCTCGCCCAGCTTCAATATACAGTTTTTGATATAAGACTCAGTGTGCCCATTTTAAGCTGCCGGAGTTTCACTGAGGGTGTTCTGACTTAAAGCATTTTGCCAACAGTTTTATTCTTGTTATATCGCTGTCCTAGATTCTAGAGCTCAATTATTACATATTTTCTCTTATAGTCTTTTGTATCTTACATTCTCACATCATATTTCCAAAGGTAGAGTATATGCAGTCAGCTCGAACCACAGCTTCTGCCCCTTTCATTCACCTATTTACCTCTTGCTCTCCATTAAGTCTCAATTTAGCTATCATTTCTTCTACAAAACCCACTCTGGCACTTTCAATGGACTCTGTATTTTCTGGGTCACAACCTTTCTCATGCTGAACTCAAATAAGTAGTGACAGATTTAATCCTAGCATCTAGAATTGTACCTGGCTCACTGTAAGTGCCAGGATATATTTACCGATTGAATAAACGAACGTGCTAAATTCCTTTCAGATGACATATTAAGAAAAGCACTTTGCTCAAGGAGTTTGCAAATTTCTGCTAGTTTTACTACATGTTCAGCATGAAAATGTTAATTTCTGAAAATACAGAGCTGTTTTACTTATCTGTGTATTCCCTGCAGCGTCTATTATGGTATTTTACACACAGTTGATTTTAAAATATTCAATATGTATAAATATATAAACATATGTTTAATTTACCTATAAATATATTTAATAATGTTTAATTTACATATAAATATATAAGCTTATACTTGATTTTAAAATGTTAAATGGAGAAGTGCCAATATCATATGGAAACTTATTACATTAGCTAAGAGTACAAACTCTTGTTTCTGTATGTGTGTGAGAAGCATGTTTTTGTTTTCCCCAGATCTAGTTTTGATATGTTATTTTATTTTTGTTTATGATCTAAACTTTAGACTGATTCTCACGTATCCCTCATGAAGTTTTGAGAAAACCAGTTTATCAATTTGCAGTGAAAAATGCAATCTAGCACAGAATAATTAAATTAGCACAATCTCTTCAGCTTATTTCTGTAAAGAGATTTCAATAAAAGCCACACTATAATCAAAACATACCTTGATAGTATGAATACGAATAGGAATAAGAAGTCAAAAGCAAAAAACTGCTTATTTTCAGTACCAACACGCAGTGTTGTATTCATCTTTCCAGCAAGGATGCTGGCACTGGACCTGAAGTTACCGCGGCAGAATTCAGAGCTCTTTGAAATTAGCTTGAAGAGCGCTATGCTGCTATATCTAACATATTCAACTCATCAAAGTAATCTACAAGCAGATTTTAAGTATTCAGACTCAAAATACAAAAGAAGAAGGCGCCTGTTTGTGTTCCTGACTTGCCTACATGGTAGTATAGAGTTTGTAGATTTAAGAATGTTAGAGTATAAAAGAATATTCAAATTGCTTCAAACAAAGGGTTTCCTCAAGGGGAGTCACATAAAGAATTTAATGGAGAAAAACTTTTAAGTTGAAATAAAATTGGCAGCAATTATTTTTATCAAAGAGAATGCAGGCTGACATCAGCGTCAATTTCTTTACACAGGAAGACCTCTGCGCACACAGTCATTTGGGTGAACCAAACAGGAAGAGAGAAAAATAATGCAAATCAGAGTGAAAGAACAGAGATAAGTAAATCATCTCACCAACAAAGTGAAACGCCATTACTCTATAAAACTTAACTGGTGACAAACACCCGTCTTTGGCAAACAAGTAGAGTTTGAATTCAAATATGAACTTTGAGAATTTGCAGATAAAATCGGTAGCGTGAAAGGAAAATAAATCTCGGGACCCCAAACTCAGTAAGTCAAAGGGAAAAGTTAGGCTGGGAACTGGGTCACACAAACCTACCTCCCCTTTTGGTTCCTAAATAAGAGGGCTGCAAGATGAAAAGCAACATGCTTCCCCTGTGTTTTGTCCCCAAGGAAATTCCTAGTGAGCTCCAAAATCTTTACCCTAAGCTGTTTCTGTTAAAAGTTCACCGTGGCAGTGTAGATTGATAACTTATCTTTACAGGTGCAGTTACCCCCCTACCCACCAGATACAAATGCACATCTGATTGCTCCCCTGCCCCATTTTGTCTATGTTGTCTTATGTAAAAATGCAGATTCCCTGAATATTTCCTCTGCCCCATATGTCTATGTCATCTTACGTAAAAAATACAGATTCAATCATAAACAAAAGGTATCTAGAGCCATGGAGGAAAAGGCAGGAGCCCCCATACAGAATTTCTCCATGATTTTTTTTTCAGGAAGAGAAGCCTTAAAATGCTGGGGAAGGGCAAGAATCACTGTCTTCCTGGAAACACTCTCAAAACCAAAGCCAAAGAGAATATTGAGGACAGCCAGAAAAAAAAAGACACACTATATGAATATAAAACAATTCCTTTTTTTGTCAGAAGTCAGGTGAGCCAGAAAATAACTTAAAATGAACTCACAGCTTTAAAGTGAAGAAAGAAAGAAAGAAAGAAAGAAAGAAAGAAAGAAAGAAAGAAAGAAAGAAAGAAAGAAAAGAAAGAAAGAAAAAGGAAGGAAGGGAGGAAGGAAGGAAGCAAGGGAGGGAGGGAGGGAAAGAAAGAAGAAAGAAAAAGAAAGAAAGAGAAAGAAAGAAACAAAGAAAGAAAGAAAGGAAGAAAGAAAAAGGAAGAAAGAAAGAAAAGAGAAAGAAAGAGAAAGGGAAAGGAAAGGAAAGGAAGAAAAAGAAAGAAGAGGAAGAAGGGAACGAAGGAGGGAAGGAAGGAAGGAAGCGAGGGAGGAAGGAAGGGAGGGAGGATGGAAGGAACATAAACCAAGAACTCTATGCCACAGGGAAATAATTTTCAAAAATGAAAAAGAATCAAAGATTGTCCAGACAAAATGGCATAACTGTCATCAGACATGATACTTCAAGAAATGTTAAAACTTCTCTGGCCAAGGAAATATAATCCAAACAGACACATAAACATACACAAATAAATAAAGAGACCCAGAAGTAAATAAATGAAGATAGAGTAAACTTACTCTTTTGTCGTTGTTGCAGTAAAGTGTAATTGTCTATAAAAAATACTTGTAATACCTTGTATCGTGTTTCAATAGCACATGTAAAGTAAAATGTGTGACAAGAATAGCCTAAGAATAGGAGAGAGAATCTGGGACTCTCTTATTATAAAGTCTTTACATGTGAAACAGTATAATGTTCCTTAAAAGTAGTCACTAATTAATAGTAAATGATGTAAAATCTAGGGTAACTATAGTAAAAATTTTAAAGAGGTATAAATAATAAGCCAATAGATGAAAAAAATGAATTATAAAAAATCCTTAAACCAAAAGAAGGCAAGTGGAAGCCGAAAAACAAAGGAGCTAGGAGAGCAAAACAATTCTGAAAAAGAAGAACAAGGAGAATTCAAACAATCTAACTTTCAAATTTACTATAAAGCTACAATAATCAAGAAAATGCAGTATTAGCAAAAAAAAAAAAAAATGGATATATATGGATTAATGAAACAAAATAGTCCTAAAATAGAGTCATGAAGATCTGGTCAACTGATTTTTTTAATTTGTATTTCAAATGAACTTTGAAATAATTTTAAATTTATAAAAGAGTTGCAAAAAGAGTACAGAGTTCTTGTATACCTCTTACCCAGGTTCCCCTAGGGTTAAAAATGTACATTGCCATGGTACATTTATCAAAATAAAGACATTTATATTAGTACAATAATGTAAACTCAACAGTTTGTTTACTGTTATCTTTTTTCTTATTTTTAAATAATAGTCCATTTTTTAGAGCAGTTTTAGGTTCGAACAAAATTGAGCAGAAGGTACAGAAATCTCCTACAAGACCCTCACCACATGCAAAGCCTCCCCCATTGACAGCATCCCACCAGGGTGGTGCATTTGCTGTGGTTGATGAACTCTGTAGACACATCATTACACGGATCCACTTTCATTTAATATCCCAGAATCCAAACCAGGATGCCGTGTTGCATTTAGTCACGTCTCTGCAGTCTCCTACAATGTATGACAGTTTCTTAGTCTTCTTTTATTTTTCATGAACTTAAGAATTTTAAAGGGTATCCCAGGTATTATTTAGACTTCTTGGGGGTTTTTCTGATATTTCTCATAACTTGAGTTATGAATTTGGGGGGAGAATCACAAAGAGAAGTACCCTTCTCATTGCCTTATATTATGAGGGACACGATATCAACATGTCATTACTGATGTTGTTAAACTCCATCTCTTAATGTCTGCCAGTTTTCAACCCTGTGAAGTTCCTTTCTCTATTCTATTTATTGGAATTGAGTGTTTTATGATTTTAAGATTATTTTGATGGCAGGACACAATATGATAACACTCATAGATGAAAAGGCAGAACCTTTTGTTACAGCTAAAAAGGAGAGAACCTGGCTGGGCATGGTGGCTCACACCTGTAATCCCAGCACTTTGGGAGGCCAAGCCGGGCTGATCACCTGAGGTCAGGAGTTTGAGACCACTGTGGCCAACATGGTGAAACCCTATCTCTACTAAAAATACAAAAAAAAAAAAAAAAATGCCAGGTGGTGCATGCCTGTGATCCTAGCTACTTGGGAGGCTGAGGCAGGACAATCACTTGAACTTGGGGAGTGGAGGCTGCGGTGAGCCGAGATTGTGCCATTGCACTCCAGTCTGGACGACAGAGTGAAACTCAGTCTGAAAAAAAAAAAAAAAAAAGGAAGAAAGAAGGAAAGAAGAAGAAAGGAGAGAATCTTTCCAGGCAGGTCATTCAGGGGGTTACACCCTCAGGGACAAGGTATTAGCAAGCTGTCACTGTAGGGGCAGCTTATATATGGCAAGCAGGATGAGGTTAGCCAGATTTTGCCTGCTTCTTGTGGATTGGCCAATTTGAATAATTTTCCAGGTGTCAAGGCTGAAGATAGGGACTGCTTCTGGTTGTCTGGGACCTGGTACCAGGATGACTGGGGAGGGTGCAGAGTGCCCTGAAGAATGAGAACTGGATAAGGGAAGTGGTTGGAATGTAGACTCAAGAAGAATGAGCCAGCCTCTAAACGAGGCCTGGAAGATGGATCAGACAGTGTTGAAAAATAAACCAAAAAAACCCAGCCAACCAAGTAACCAACCAGATTATCTTGGAAGGATTGGTTCTTTCTGGAAGCTTTGAGGGAGTAACTATAGCATACCTCATTCTTTCTGGGGGTTGTCAGCAAACCTTGGTCTTCCTTGACATCACTCCAGCCTCTCTCTCCATCTTCACATGGCCTTGTGTATTTTTTGTGTGTATCTGAAACCTCTCCTCTTCTTATAAGGACACCAGTCATTGGATTGAGAACCTACTCTAAAAACAGAAGGATTTGGTTTCAAGGCCTTAACTACTCGTAATAACATCTGCAGAAACCCGTTTTCCAAAAAAAGGTAATATTCTGAAGTTCAGAGTAGACACGAATTCTGGGGGGACAATTATTAATCCTTTTCCTGTTTAGAAAAATCAAGTACAGCTCACTGCCAGTGCTCAGTTAATTTTACATAAACATGCTCTTTGAGGCTGAAGCAAATCTGACTAATTTTCAATGTGAAAAAGAATATAAACACTGTTCCTGGTCTTCGTCTAAACAGAACTAATATCAGAATCATCTGAATCATCAGAATTGTCTATTTTGGAAAAATTAAATTCATCAAATGAATCTTTGGCCAACAACTGTTCAAGAATGATGCTAACATCACATGTAGGTGTAGGAATGCTACATTTTCTAGGATTTGACATTTTCAGCGATCGAGAAGTACTGTATTTTGTAAAAGGAAAACCACTACTAAAAACAGCATGCTATAAGTAGAATGATGTCATTTGTTTCCAAAGTTGACATATTAGAATGACGCAAAAATAATAATAAAAGTGAAATAGTTCGTGGCAACATTGTCTCAGGGTAACTGCTGCAGCTGCAAGCACCACTGGCGAGTATCCTCGGGGCAAATGGGAAAAGGGTTAAACACACTACACTTGTTCTATGAATTACTAAGAGGAGAGTATTAAATCTCTAACAATAATTGTGGGTTTTCCTACTTCTTTCAAATCTGCTGGTTTTTGCCTCCTGTATTTTGAGTTTCTAAGTTCATATTTGATATGTCTTCTTGGAGAATTGACTCTTTTTTGTTATGTTACGGCCCCACTTTATCCCTGATAATAATCTTTGTTCTGCCATCTGGTTTGTCTAAAATGATTATGTCTGTCTCAGATTTGTTTTCTTTGTGTTTCCATGGTAGAAATTACTTTATCTTTTTACTTTTAACCCAACTATATATTTAAAGTATGTTTCTTGTAGACAAATAAGTATGTTTGTTTAAAAACCTGTATGTGAACATTTGTATTAGCTTGATTCATAATAGCTTCAAACTAGTAATCACCCAACTGTCTTTCAACTGCTCAACAGATAAACTGTTATCACCATGCAAGGAAATACTACTCAGCAATACAAATAGAAACAACCAATACTCTCAATAATGCAGATATATCTTAGATTTTTTTGCTAGCTGAAAAATGACAGATCAAAAAGGCTATATACGCAAGATTCCATTTATGTAACGTATTTTAAAAGACCCTAAGTACGGACAGAGAACAGATCAGTGGATTCCAGGTGCTCGGCTAGGGCTTAGACAACAAGAGGCAGCTGGAGGGAATTTGAGGAAATGATTCTGATACAGACAGGAGGCCGGGAAATACTGGGTCGAAGAGGGCGGTCCCCGGTAAGGGCCTCAAGCCTAGACCTGTCGCGCAAAGTGACAATATTCACCAAAGCCAGCCTGGCCTGCCCCACCCACCATCCTGTACCCATAAAAACCCGAGGCTCCACTGGCAGAAGAGAGGCAGAGAAGGAGAAAAGAGAAGCAGCAGCCAGACGTTGGTGAGAAGCAGCTTGACTTCAGAGGGATGGCTTGACTATGGGACCTCAGATTAGAGTTCAGCCGGGCATGGCTGAATTCCAGGAGAAAACTACCCTCCCACTCCACCCCTTTTCCAGCTCCCATCCCGCTGAAAGACACTTTCATTGGCAATAAAATCCCCCGTGGTGTTCACTGTCTTGAATTCATTCGCGTGACCTGATTCTTCCTGGACTCTGAACAAGAGCTCAGGATGCAGAGGGCTGTCACATTGAGCTGTTAAACGCTTAAGCTGTCTGTGGACAGCAAAGCTAAAAGAGCACACTGTAACACATGCCCTCTGGGGCTCCAGGGGTCCCGGGTACCCCTCAGACCTTGCGGCAGGGCTGCACAGAGCTCTACTCCACCTGGAGCTCAGAAGCACTCATCCTGGCCCCTGCATCCGCTCACTTGAGTGCTCCCCTTCCCGCAAGCGGTTGAGAGCTGCAGGCTGAGTAAATGAACCACCGCCATCAGACAACAGGGAAAATTTCCTGTTTCAATTCCGTACCAAGACTGTGATGGTGGAAAGATGACTTTATGTATTTGTAACTGCATCGAACCATAGACCACATGGGATGAATTTTGTTGCAAGTAAATTAAGAAATACATTTAAAAAATATTTAAGAGGGAAGAATAGCTCAGCCTTAATCACATAGGGGCAGTTAGAGAACTGGATATGTGCAACAGCGAAAATTGTTTGATTCACTTTCCTAGGAATTTTAACTTCAGAACCTCACTGGAAATCATCTATCGTGCTTTGTGTGCTATTTATGCTCAAGGAAACTCATATTATATTTTATCTAGGTTTCATAAACTTTTCATTTCCTCAATTTGTTCTATATTTTAAAATGGTAGAATCTAGCACATAGCAGATTCTTATTACATATTTACTAAGGAAATAAAAGTTACCTGTAGATTGATTTTTTGGACTGACTCAGTATATACCACCTGAGTATCACGCTAAAGATGGTCTTCCAGGACGGGAGTGGTGGCTCATGTCTGTAATCCCAGCACTTTGGGAGGCCGAGGTGGGAGGATCATGAGGTCAAGAGATTGAGACCATCCTGGCCAACATGGTGAAACCCCAACTCTACTAAAAATACAAAAATTAGCTGGTCGTGGTGGTGGGCACCTATAATCCCAGCTACATGGGAGGCTGAGGTAGGAGAACCACTTGAACCTGGGAGGCGGAGGTTGCAGTGAGCCGAGATTATGCCATTGCACTCCAGCCTGGGCGGCAATAGCGAAACTCTGTCTCAAAAAAAAAAAAAAAAAAAAAAAAATTGGTCTTCCTATAAGGGTCAGAATGCAATAACAGCTTGTACAGGTTTTCTTTACCAGGTTAGTATCTGTTTAGGTGAGTTACATAGTTATACTCACCGGACAGACAAGTTGAAACTTATTTTGATCAATCTTTCCAATAAAACAATCATTGTGTAGTTTAAAGTCAATAACTTTAGAAAGTGGCTTATTCTTACAAAGGCTTTTTTTTTTTTTTTTAAAGGTAGTGGCTCATATAGCATGGACTTCATTTCTCCTCTCTCTTTGTATTATATTAACATGTGTACTCTTATGTGCAACTGTTAAATCCAGTTTAGTGTAAAGCTGACTCCTTACATATTTTAAATTCAGCCTAAAATTTTCTCAGTACATAGAGAACTATAACCTCAATGGGATTGTAAGCAGACTATAACCTACTCGTGGGCCAATCATCAAGTTTTAGCCAATCAAAGGGAACCAACTTTTCAAACCATGTTAAAATAAGGCAAACGCTGAGCTCTAATCAATCTTCTGCTTCTGTACCTCACTTCCATTTTATGTACATCATTTTCCTTTTTCTGTCCATAAATCTTCTTCCACCACATGGCTGCACTGGAGTCTCTGAGCCTATCATGGCTCAGGAGGCTGCCCAATTCATAAATTGTTCTTTGCTCAATTAAGCTCTGTTAAATTTAATTTGGCTAAAGCTTCTATTTTAACACAACTATTTCTCTGTATTGATTTATCTGTAATCATACATGTCATGAATGAACACATAATTTTATGAAACACTTTTTGTGCTGTATTATGCCATCTAGATTCTGATAGTTTATTTTCATCTGCACAAATAACCACATACTCTTTTACACATAGCTTCAACTCATATCCTTGCCTCTCATGTTCCTTTATCTTGAATGAATTTCAGTTGGAGAAATGAAAGCTCTGAAATCTTTACTCTTTCATTTAATTTGACTTTTTAATATTTAGAACTTAAGGATCTTTTCACTTTCTTTTGATTCACCTTTCACAATGAGTTGGCATTAGTTTTAGGATTTGAACAAACCAGTTGCTTTTTGAAATTTTTTGGTTAAACACTATTTGTAATGGCAATTGTTTTGATTAGATTCCTCTACTACGCGTGTACGGCACCATTAGAATATTACCTACATTTCGTATCAACAAGAAGAAAATGACCTCCATGTCAACCAGTAACTATTTTGATTACCCTTCCCTGCCTTGAGGAATTGATGTTTATGGAACTTTCTGGCATTCTTTTATAGCTACCAAAGTTTTGTCTTTCATGGTGCAGTGCCTCTAAACCTAATTATACAATCAACTATCTGTTTTAAAATGTCTTATGTATATTAATAATGGCTATTTTTTCCCTTCCAACATTTTCTTTCCTTCTTGTTTTAATATTTATTAATCTTAAAATATTGAGGCTTTTTCTTATATATGTTTTGGCCCTAATCAATGTCCATTTAATTGACATTGAGTTTCATTTATATTTTCTTTTTCTGCTTGCTTATTGGATTCTTTCTCTTTTTTCCTTTCATTACCTTTCTCCAAGCTTCCTGCTTCTTTTCAGCTTTGCTTTTTCCTCTTCCTCTAGGCTTCTTTTTGAGATGCTAGTCCCCCTATGACTGTCTCCCTTCTTTTCATCCATGAACCCTGACTTTACAATCTGCCAATCAGCCATAGCCAGAGTGCTTGCTCTGAACCAGGTTTGGACACTATTGCTTATTTCACTGAAGAATGATCTTGCTGATTTTCATTAGACTTTTTTATACATTTCTTCCCACACTTTGTTTTCTCATTTTCTCATTTTTCACCAATTTGAACTATATCTTCCTTTGTCCCACTTCCATTTTTTTGTATATTCTTCTTATTTACACTAAGTTGCTTGTTTCTTTTGTGTCCAGATGCCTATAGTTCATCTTCTCCAAGAAAGATTCGAAGCAAGTTTTCCTTTCTATTTCGTGTTACGTCTTCCTTCTCTTGTCCTTTTGTTCTGTCATGCTTAGACTAGGCAGTGAGCTGGAGGGAAGGAACTGACTAGTTTGCATAACTAGAAGTATTCTGGATATTCTATAAAAAAATAAGCCAATGAAAAGTTGTAGGTTTTGACTAAAGGTGTGAATTGGAGAAGAAGAATGTGGACGATATACCAAATAAGGAAATTGTAAATTCAAGGAAAAGAAGAGACAGATGTCGAAAATGGTAGATAAGTTTTATTAACTAGAGTGAAGGTCATAGTAGCAGTATAATGAGGAGTTAGTGAAAGTCTAAAATAATTGCAATTCATGATCTGGAGTGTTAATTTGACACAAGTAGCAGTTGTGGATGAGTAATAGGAACACTTGCCCATATGAAATAGGTTCTGCTTTTCTGTACTTAACAGTGATTGTCATGAAGCCTAATCTGAAAAATAAAAAAATGGAAAGAAAAAGCAAAGTACATTGAAAATATCCTGTGGATGACTCATTAACACTATTGATTTCCTTCTACTAGCCACACCCTAATTAATTTCTCCACACAGTTTCAGCACTTATTCTCATGGTTGAATTGTCTTATCCATAACAGAGGACACAATTTGGCCATTTTAAAATTAAAATTGTATAATAAAATCCCTAATGCACTACTTCACCAATGTCATTCCTAATAACTTTTGTATTCCATTCACTGGGCTATTTGGGAGAGTAATCCATCTTCTTATAATGGTTTCCATTCTGCATTTTTAACTGTTATACGCATGACAAGCTCTTTAGTAAAATGCACCATTGTCCTTCATATTTAAAGATTTTATTTCAAAAGCTAATATTATATTTGTATGTAAGACTGATAAAACTAACAGCTTTATGTTTTGAGAAATATTTTAAGGAAAGTTTAAAATTATAATAATATCTATCTATTATTTTTCATTCTTTGTGTGATATAAGCAGACTTAATTTTAATGTGGCTAAGATGGCAACAACATTTGCCTTTAATAATTATTTTGTGTTATCAATAGCTTTCTTATATACATTCTTAAATTCTATGAAAATTGTTTCGATTATGGACATTATTTACATCAAATGAAGTATCATGTATCTAGACATGGAGGTATAAATAGTGAGATCAACTAATAAGGATGAAATCTCTTATTTAAACAAAAAAAGAGGCAGAATTTTAAAATAAAACTCCACTTAAAATACCAAAAATCTGTGTCACAGCTCTCATCTTTTGAAACATATTACTTCCAAATCAAAGGTGTCCTAAGCTATGGTGCTTTCTTCTCTGCTGTCTTTTCAAAGGTCAAAGTAAACTTAATATTTCACTTCAATACATACAGCATCCACACTCTTCAGCTGCATGTTTAGGCTTCCTCTATGTTCAACAAGAGGGGTGGCATCATAGGCAGAAGCTTGGTTGTTCCTCAGCTTACACCAACAGGACTTCTAAAATTCCATACTCAGGAGCGAGAGCCGCTGATGTTTCAAAGTAAGAACTGAACAGCTGGGAAAGAATAATGCACCTTGCCTGAACTCTGTTTTAAATTCCAGTCTAATATTTGGGTAATTTTTGTCCTTGCAAATAATTTGCTTTCTTGCTAACATTCATATTGTGTTGCTGGAATTAAATTGTTAATCTACAATAGTTAATTAGTTTTACTGTTAAGGAATTTTAGCCTTTATTTTTATGATACAGTTATTCCCACAAAACAAAAATTTCTCTTGTTTATTGTAATTTTATATATTCCATAATAAGTTGCATATATTTGTAGAGAATACAATAGATATGCTATATATAATATGTTTTACATATTGTATATACCATATGTAATGATGTATTATACATTATATATACAATAATTTTATGCTATAGACAAATATGTGTGTACATTTACATATAAAGAGAATTACTAATTGTAAGCATAAAGTTATTACAAATTAATCAAGTTTTCCTAACCCAATGATAAAGTACTTTGAGAACAAACAAAAAATCATAAATGTATGCCTTCACAAACATGCCACATTTCAAATAATTTTTATCTAGGATTATAGTTTAAGGGATTGATAAACTTGGAGTCAAAATATACTGCTTTGTCTTCCAGCTCAAATCTTGTCCAGTTGTATGACCTTGGGAATATGACGGAACTGCACATATCTGGTTATTGACTTATATAATAGGCCTTTCTAGGAAAATCTTGTGAAGGTCAAACAAAGCTCTGATACGTGTATTTCAAAGGACATTTAACCATTGAACGAGTGTAAGGTGTTTTAATTTTTCTGGTTTGCACATCTTATATTTTAGACTACTTTCCATTTTCTATGTATACTCTAGACTCTCCCATAGGGGTTCCTTTATTGAAATTAGTGTAACCTAATACACAACCCTATATTTGAGTTTATAACTAAAGTGGAAAAAACTCCTAAAAGCCCCTAGACTCCTTCTAAAGATGTGAGATGATGGAACACAGATGTAACTCTCACTCTGAAGGTGCAGCCTGTGGGCAGTGTCCTGTTAGGCTTCTCATCTTGGGTGGGCCTCTGGCTGGGCTTTGACTTTTTGTACCTTTCAAACAGAAAGACATCAAAATCGGTGTAACTTTATTTTAATTAATGAATGCCTTTGGAGTTTTATTGCAGTTTACCTTCCTCAGTTCTGACTTAGTTGCTTTACTCAAGCTCTCGTTTCTTTTTCCCAACTTCTACCTTTGTTCTGCTCTTTCTCCTGTTTTTTCATAGTTTCATTCTTTCTTAATATTTATTAGGTGCATCTATGAGTTAATTCTCATGTCGATGGTAAATTTTACTACAACTTTCACTGTGGCCAGTGTTTGGCATTTAAGTTATTTTATTTGCTTACATCCAGTTAACAATGTGGTTTTCTTAAGTCCTCTTTTGAATCTACATCATAAAGTCATGCTTTTCACTTCTTCTCTTCTCCGTTTGATCTTACTGGCACTTTCCTAATTCACACTGGCAATAATTCAAGAATGAAAAAGTTTTACCCACCTTTAGGCTTTCCCTACTTCAGCATACTCTCTGGTTTCGTGTTAAGTTTTTGTTTTTGTTTTTTTTTTTTAATAGAAAGCAGATCTGATTGTTTGATTCAAATATAGATAAACCCATAATACATAGAGTAAAAAAGAAACAATAACAAAAAAGAAGTATCTCATCCTGTAATCAAAGCCATCTATCTCATACTGTGGTCATTTTCACATTTTTCTAACCCACCAGCCATAGGATCTGGGTTTGAATCTCACATGTATAATTCACTAGATGTATAAAGTTGTTAAAAATACTTGATCTCTCAATTCTGTCTCTGTAAAATGAGAATAATAACATAACCTACTTTACACAGTTGCATAAGAACTAAATTAATCAGTATTACTATATATGAGGTGTTAAGAATGTTTAGCACTGAGCAAGTATTCAATTGATTATTTACTACTAACAATAAAGTCAACATCATCATTGTTATTCTATCTTCCTATATGCTCCAGCTTAAAAAAAAATAGATTATCTCCAGAACTTCACCTGAAACATCCTGTACTGTGACTCTGCCCATGGTATTGTTACTAGGTATCATTTTCATTAATGTCTGCTTAACCCTGTTCTGGCCATTACTAAATGAGTACTTCCTTTCAGAAAAATTTCTCAATTTCTTGGATCAGAAATAATCTCTATCCCCTATGTTCTCATTTATAATGACAGTCATTCATTTGCTTTGTTTTGAAGTTATTATGTGTTTGTTTCTCTGAGTAGCATTTAAATTATTTCTTTGGAAAATATGTCAGATTGATCTTTTTAGTTCCCAGTCTTTAGTAAAGTGCTTTGAGGGAAGTAGGTGCTCCAAAAATGCTTGCCAATTTAAATTTAAAAATATAAATAGGATATAACAATTATAATCTTCAAACAAGGTTCAGACTTTCTAATTTACTATGTATTAATAGTATAAAATGGTACTATGTGTGTCTGCAACCTAAATAATCCTCCTGAAAGTAATGAGACTTTTTTCCTATATACAGTTACAGAATTTCAATTTGCTCTATCTTCCATTTTAGCTGATTATGAAACAAATTTGCATGTCAGATGCCAGTTTCATACTCCAATGACTCTCCCTTTAGATTGCCTTTTATATTTTATGCAACTTTCATTCATGTGAACACCACATTAATAGAATGTAGCACTAAAGTGTGGTAATAAGTTTTTGTTCAACATCCAAACTAGTGAGGAAATGATGAACTTATTTCATAACCAGCTAAAATGTAACCAAAAGTAGGTTTCCTAATTGAGCAACATTAGGGAAACTTATTGGAAAAAGAAACAGCATTTTCACAAAGAAGTGTTAGTATGACCACATCTATGGGCAATTCCCTGTCCTTACATATTTAAGTGGGCTCATACAATTAATTTTTGCCAATGAAAAACATTAATTAACATCTTTGCTATTTTTGATCACAGAAATAAGCTGCAAATATGTATTTTTGAATTTATTTTGTCTAAACAGTTATGAAATAGTAAGTTAGATTATGCAAGCAGCCTGAATTAGAGAGCATCATGTCATACAGGAGAATAACTCAGCCTTCATCTATTATCATCTATCAATCAATCAATCTATTTAATCACCTTTCATCTATTCATATCATTATATATAACTCAAATTATTAAACTATGAAATATGTACATGCAGAGAAATAATTTTATTGTGTTAAACACTACAATTTCAGGGTTTATTCATCACTGCCTCAGCCCAGTCTATAACTAATAATACTTACTAAATAAAGAACAAAATCATTTAGTTAATAGGCATTTATTTTCACAAACAAACAACATTGCAAATAAATTCTTCCCTTTGTTAGAGTCATTTTTACTTGGTTGGTTAATAAAATTTATTTTTAAAATAATTTATCAATTTTATTTGTATTTAAGTCCTTTTCTTTATGTTGGATTTCATTTCATTTAGTGAAACCACCCTTCCCCATGTGGGTCACACAGGGCTAGGTCTATAGTATAAAACTAAAGGAATTTCTAAGAGAGGAAATACCCGATAGAATTTGCTAAACTTGTTTTTGGAGCATCTCCTCGGGTTAGGGATTTTATTTTCCAAAATAAAGTTCATTTTAAAAAATAGATCAATAACTTCTAAAACAATAGATTCTTAGTTAACCCTGATGCCAGCTCAAATCTTTTTCCACCAGCATTTCACCTGACATTGCTTTGCATCTACCAGGAGGTAGAAATCAGCACCTTACCTCTTTGAGTTCAATTTACCTTAAAATTGTTCTGAAATAAAGAGCATAGTAAGCAATATGTACTTTACTAAAAACTTGATAAGACTGAAGAAGAGAATGTTTATTTCAGATGTCACCTTGTAAAACTTTTCTTTCCTTATGAATCTTCTTCATCCATGCTATAATGGATGTACTAAAATTAGTACATCCTCACTTTTTCTCACACAGCCTTTGGGTCTTTAAACTTTTCTTACTTTTTTGCTCGGTCCAAAATGAATAAACACATCCCTTATCTTGTGCAGAGAAGCTCAACAAATTTCTCTGAAACCTGGATTCCAATGGTACATGCTGAGTCTGTACCAAATACTCAACAAATTGCTTCTCTTCCTAAATAGCTGTGGTTTCTTCTCTCAGGAATGTTGCTGAACAGGAGGTTCACAGTCTCCTTTCACTTAGATGGCCTGAACTTAGACTAGTTTATCGTACCCTTTCATGTCCCTAAAATGTCAGTGTAACTGTTGCCTCCTCTTTTGAGATTTCTTTGAACCCTTATATCGTCCTCAGTCATATTAAGTTTCAGTGTGCATCCCGCTAGGTAGTACTTATCCCACAGAGTAGCAAAAATTATTCCACTCCATTGGAAACTGTAGGACACTGAGTCATGTCAAGGAGTTTTTCATCCTACCAGATCATAGAAAATGAAAGACAGAAAAACAAAAACCTAAAAAGCAGCTATAGTCAAATAAGATGAAAATCAAGCATTGAGTATTGAATTTAGCAACATGGAAGGCATTCGTGATCTGAAAATCAGTAGTTTGGGTGGTGATGCGGGGGTAAAATTCTCAATGAATTTGATTTTATAAAGAATGAGAGACGAGAAGAGAAATGTCTATCATCATTAAAACCTTTTAGGAGTTTCCTTGCAAATTGAAATTAAAAATGAGTCATTTCATGACAGGAATAGTGGCATTCACTAAGGGCTATTTTTTTTTTATTTTAAAAGACAGGATCTCACTCTGTTGCCCAGGCTGGAGTGCAGTGGCATGATCATAGTGCACTGTAGACTCTACCTCCTTGGCTCAAATGATCCTCCCACCTCAGTCTCCTGAGCAACTTGGACTACAGGCATGTGCTACCATGCCTGAGTAATTTTTTAGAACATGTTTTGTAGTGATTGGGTTCTCCATATGTGGCCCAGGCTGGTCTCAAACTCCTGGCCTCAAGTGATCCTCGGCCTCCCAAAGTGATGAAATTATAGGCATAAGCCACCATGTCTAGCCCTAAGGCTATTTTAATATTTCATATAGTAAAAACAAAATGGATGACAAAGAAGAAAGAGTGGAAATTTGCTGGAGGAATGTCCTTGAGTAGACAGTAGTGCAAGAGCAGAATTGGCTTGAGTTAAAAGCATGCACAGCTTATTCATTCAAGATAACAGGACAGATGGGCATGTGGTTTTAGAGAATGGAAATCTGAACTAGACTAGACAGTTCTAGTTCTCTCTCTTTTTTTTTCTTATTGTGTTTAGTGAAACAAAAACAACCGAAAATGTGGGCGTAAGACATCTAGGGGAGTAAGACACTGTAATTTCTGGGTAACATCACAAATTCACTTGAGTATGCCAATCGAGTGGGTAGTGAAATTAGTCAGTGTGGTTGTTTTCCTCCTGCCACACTCAGATGTAAGAGTGCAGGCATGACATAGCTGAAGAGCTGATTTAACTAAAGCTGTGGCCCTCTCAAGAAAGTACAGCAAAGCGAGAGAAGACATCATTGGCCTGAAGAAAGTGAGAGGTGGTAGTAATAATGCACTGTAAGCCCAGTATATTCAAAAGATGTTTGAGTTGAGATACTTCAGTGATGTAAATACTTAGATGGATTTTGGGAAGTGAGTAGCGTGCACATAAATTGGTGTTATAGAGAGACTTATGCAAATGCCATTATTAGCTATTTGTAATCTCTTTATATAGGGCAAGCATTGTTAAACATTTTGATTTAGTGGTATTCATTCTGTTTCAGTAATTTTCTTCACAGCATTTCAATCCTCCTCCTCCCCAAAAAAGACAAAACAAATTCTAAAAATCTCTAAGAGTTCCCTTTAGTAAGTAGTTATGTCCCAATAAGAAATATTTATGCTCTAATAACTTAGTTGCCTTTTGAAAAAATAAAACATATACATTAATAATACACATACATTGTTTCATTCTTGACTAATCACAGTTGGTGACTAATGCAGTGTGGGTGCCTGTAGGGCACTGCAGAGCTCCTTAGGTTTTGGAATCATATTTGACACTGATATCTCATTGCCTATCCCACATTAATTTCAAACAGCACTCAATTTATGTCACAGAAATCACTGAAGACCCAGCTTTGCAGAGATAAGACATGACCAACAGGAACGCAGTGTGAGCTAATGTTGAGACAGTAAACTATCTGGAGCGAGTAGTCAGCTCTGTGTCTGACAGATTGGAGTTTGCTGAGATTCTGCAGGGTGTGTGAGTGTAGGGATTATAGGTATAAGATATGACCATGTGAATAAATGGCTATGGTGAAATGGAGGTCAAGCTCACTGGAAAGAGAAGAGAGCAAGAAACTGTGCAGCCAGGGTGTGCGGAAGATTACTTAAATGTATTTTAAAATCACTAAGATAAGGCAGAAATAGAGTCTAAGAGTATAACATTGCGCTAGAAAATAAAACCACAAGAAATAAGGAAAGTAACTTAATTACAACGACAACTAAGTGTAGTGGGGGATGTAGTATGATGACACAGGAATAGAAGTGGGGAAATTTTAGAGAAAAGCACAGGGAGAAAGGACAAATAGTGGAAATGGGGAACAAATAAAATTTATATTTCTCATTCCAAGCCCAAATGTATGAAGTTTATAGGAAAACAAACGAAAATGAGCCATCACTTGAGTGGGCTGTAGGAAAAGTGGTGTCTTCAGAGGAAGGCCAATTTCCCAATAGAGCAAAATGTTGAGAGCAGTATTCACAGAAGACATTGAGATTTGGAAGACTTTGCATTCTAAGAGAACGTTGAGAGGGCTTAAGCACTTTTGAAAGAGGAGAGGAAGGGGACAGACAGGAATGTGCAGAGCTGATAAGGATTAGAATCTGGGAGGTATGGCTGACTTGATTCTAGAAATGTGTATTGTAACTGACATGAACAGGAATTAATGTTCTTGGTAGATTCAAGGCAGACAGTTATTGTACAGCTGTAGGTGAAAGGAGAGATAGAAGGGTGAGTATCTGTGTCTCTCTTGACTCTCGTGTATAAAAACAAGTAGGTTCTTATTTCAGTTATACTGATTGCCCTGATGATGAGGGTAAATGGCTCAGTGGAGACAAACATTTACAACCAGAATGAGAGTTGATTCATCTTCTCTGTTGAAAGACAGGTTAGCTTCCACTGAGTTCATGGGCTTCCTTCTTGATGACTGTTGATAGGATTGAGCACATCTGGGAAATCAGTATGTTATTCTAATATTGATATCTCTTTTTTTTTTACCCTTAATAAAGACAAAGCAAAGATTAAGTGAAATGTGGTCTTATTCACCTGCCTAGATCCGCTTCTGGTCATCTCTGATTTGGGTAAACTCCTAAGAGATGTGGTCTTAGCTTGGGGATGGTTTACTCTTGTTTCCATTTGTGGAGTCATGAATTAACTGTTAGTGTGCTGACTCTCTCTGGTCTCCATGGATGGAGGATAAATGAATTGGATAATTAACAAATAATTACTACTATAATATTTAGAATTAAAATAAATAGAATTATTTATTTAGAATAATTATTTAGATTTAAAATAAATAGAAGATAAAATCTATTCATTTTTCCAAGATGGCTGAATAGGAACAGCTCCAGTCTACAGCTCCCAGCATGAGTGACACAGAAGATGGATGATTTCAGCATTTCCAACTGAAGTACCAGGTTCATCTCACTGGGGCTTGTCAGACAGTGGGTGCAGAACAGTGGGTACAGCGCACTGAGTGTGAGCCGAAGCAGAGTGAGGCATTGCCTCACCCGGGAAGTGCAAAGGGTCAGGGAATTTCCTTTCCTAGACAAGCAAAGCTGTGACAGACAGCACCTGGAAAATCGGGTCACTCCCACACTAATACTGCGCTTTTACAATGGTCTTAGCAAACAGCACACGAGGAGATTATATCCCACGCCAGCCACGCCTGGCTCAGAGGGTCCCATGCCCACAGAGCCTCACTCATTGCTAGCACAGCAGTCAGATAGAACTGCAAGGCCGCGGCAAGGCTGGGGGAGGGGTGCCCGCCATTGCTGAGGCTTGAGTAGGTAAACAAAGTGGCCCGGAAGCTCAAACTGGGTGGAACCCACCACAGCTCAAGGAGGCCTGCCTGCCTCTGTAGACTCCACCTCTGGGAGCAGGGCATAGCCAAACAAAAGGCATCAGAAGCCTCTGCAGACTTAAATGTCCCTGTCTGACAGCTTTGAAGACAGTAGTGTTTCTCCCAGCAAGGAGTTGGAGATCTGAGAACGGACAGACTGCCTCCTCAAGTGGGTCCCTGACCCCCGAGTAGCCTAACTGGGAGACACCCCCCAGTAGGGGCAGACTGACACCTCACACGGACGGGTAGCCCTCTGAGATGAAACTTACAGAGGAATGATCAGGCAGCAACATTGCTGTTCAGCAATATTCGCTGTTCTGCAACCTCTGCTGCTGATACCCAGGCAAACAGGGTCTGGAGTGGACTTCCGGCAAACTCCAACAGACCTGCAGCTGTGGGTCCTGACTGTTAGAAGGAAAACTAACAAACAGAAAGGACATCCACATAAAAACCCCATCTGTACATCACCACCATCAAAGACCAAAGGTAGATAAAACCGCAAAGATGGGGAGAAACCAGAGAAGAAAAACTGAAAATTCTAAAAATCAGAGTGCCTCTCCCCCTCCAAAGGAATGCAGCTCCTCACCAACAACAGAACAAAGCTGGATGGAGAATGACTTTGATGAGTTGAAAGAAGAAGGCTTCAGATGACCAAACTTCTCCAAGCTAAAGGAGGAAGTTCAACCTATCGCAAGAAGTTAAAAACCTTGAAAAAAGATTAGACAAATGGCTAAATAGCATAACCAACGTAGAGAAGTCCTTAAATGACCCCAATGGAGCTGAAAACCATAGCACAACAACTACATGACGAATGCACAAGCTTCCGTAGCTAATTTGATCAACTGGAAGAAAGGGTATCAGTGATTGAAGAGCAAATGAATGAAATGAAGAGAGAAGAGAAGTTTAGAGAAAAATGAATAAAAAGAAATGAACAAAGCCTCCAAGAAATATGGGACTATGTGAAAAGACCAAATCTACATCTGATTGGTGTACCTGATAGAGGGGGAGAATGGAACCAAGTTGGAAAACACTCTGCAGGATATTATCCAGGAGAACTTCCCCAACCTAGCAAGGCAGGCCAACATTCAAATTCAGGAAATACAGAGAACACCACAGATATACTCCTCAAGAAGAGCAACTCCAAGACACATAATTGTCAGAATCACCAAAGTCGAAATGAAGGAAAAAATGTTAAGGGCAGCCAGAGAGAAATGTTGGGTTACCCACAAAGGGAAGCCCATCAGACTAACAGCAGATCTCTCCGCAGAAACTCTACAAGCCAGAAGAGAGTGGGGGCCAATATTCAACATTCTTAAAGAAAAGAATTTTCAACCCAGAATTTCATATCCAGCCAAACTAAGCTTCATAAGTGAAGGAGAAATAAAATACTTTACAGACAAGCAAATGCTGAGAGATTTTGTCACCACCAGACTTGCCCTACAAGAGCCCCTGCAGGAAGCACTGAACATGGAAAGGAACAACAAGTACCAGCCACTGCAAAAACATGCCAAATTGTAAAGACCATCAATGCTAGGAAGAAACTGCATCATCTAACGAGCAAAATAACCAGCTAACATCATAAAGACAGTATCAAATTCACACATAACAATATTAACCTTAAATGTAAATGGGCTAAATGCTCCAATTAAAAGACACAGGCTGGCAAATTGGATAAAGAGTCAAGACCCATCAGTGTGCTGTATTCAGGAAACCCATCTCACTTGCAGAGACACACATAGGCTCAAAATAAAGGGATGGAGGAAGATCTACCAAGCAAACGGAAAACAAAAAAAAGCAGGGGTTGCAATCCTAGTCTCAGATAAAACAGACTTTAAACCAACAAAGATCAAAAGAGACAAAGAAGGCCATTACATAATGGTAAAGGGATCAATTCAAAAGAAGAGATGACTATCCTAAATATGCATGCACCCAATACAGGAGCACCTAGATTCATAAAGCAAGTCCTTAGAGACCTATAAAGAGACTTAGACTCCCACACAATAATAATGGGAAACTTTAACACCCCACTGTCAACATTAGACAGATCAACGAGACAGAAAGTTAACAACGATATCCAGGAATTGAACTTAGCTCTGCACCAAGCGGACCTAATAGACATCTACAGAACTCTCCATCCCAAATCAATAGAATATACATTCTTCTCAGCACCACACTGCATCTATTCCAAAATTGACCACATAGTTGGAAGTAAAGCACTCCTCAGCAAATGTAGAAGAACAGAAATTATAACAAACTGTCTCTCAGACCACAGTGCAATCAAACTAGAACTCAGGATTAAGAAACTCACTCAAAACCTGAACAACCTGCTCCTGAATGACTACTGGGTACATAACGAAATGAAGGCAGAAATAAAGATGTTCTTTGAAACCAATGAGAACAAAGACACAACATATCAGAATCTCTGGGACACATTCAAAGCCGTGTGTAGAGGGAAATTTATAGCACTAAATGCCCACAACAGAAAGAAGGAAAGATCTAAAATTCACAGCCTAACATCACAATTAAAAGAACTAGGGAAGCGAGAGCATACACATTCAAAAGCTAGCAGAAGGCAAGAAATAACTAAGATCAGAGCAGAAATGAAGGAGATAGAGACACAAAAAACCCTTCAAAAAATCAATGAATCCAGGAGCTGGTTTTTTGAAAAGATCAACAAAGTTGATAGACCGCTAGCAAGACTAATAAAGAAGAAAAGAGAGAAGAATCAAATAGATGCAATAAAAAATGATAAAAGGGATGTCAGCACTGATCCCGCAGTAATACAAACTACCATCAGAGAATACTATAAACATCTCTATGCAAATAAACTAGAAAATCTAGAAGAAATGGATAAATTCCTGGACACATACACCCTCCCAAGACTAAACAAGGAAGAAGTAGAATCTCTGAATAGACCAATAACAGGCTCTGAAATTGAGGCAATAATTAATAGCTTACCAATCAAAAAAAGTCCAGGACCAGACGGATTCACAGCTGATTTCTACCAGAGGTACAAGCAAGAGCTGGTACCATTCCTTCTAAAACTATTCCAATCCATAGAAAAAGAGGGAATCCTCCCTGGCTCAGTTTATGAGGCCAGCATCATCCTGATACCAAAGCCTGGCAGAGACACAACCAAAAAAGAGAATTTTAGACCAATATCCCTGACCAACATTGATGCAAAAATCCTCAATAAAATACTGGCAAACCGAATCCAGCAGCACATCAAAAAGCTAATCCCCCACGATCAAGTGGGCTTCATCCCTAGGATGCAAAGCTGGTTCAACATATGAAAATCAATAAATGTAATCCAGCATATAAACAGAACCAAAGACAAAAACCACATGATTTTCTCAATACAAGCAGAAGAGGCCTTTGAAAAAATTCAACAGCACTTCATGCTAAAAACTCAATAAATTAGGTATTGATGAGACATATCTCAAAATAATATGAGCTATTTATGACAAACCCACAGCTAATATCATACTGAATGGACAAAAACTGGCAGCATTCCCTTTGAAAACTGGCAGAAGACAGGGATATCCTTTTTCACCACTCCTATTCAACGTAGTGTTGGAAGTTCTGGCCAGGGCAATCAGGCAGGAGAAAGAAATAAAGGGTATCAATTAGGAAAAGAGGAAGTCAAATTGTCCCTGTTTGCAGATGACATGATTATATATCTAGAAAACCCCATCATCTCAGCCCAAAATCTCCTTAAGCTGATAAGCAACTTCAGCAAAGTCTCAGGTTACAAAATCAATGTGCAAAAATCACAAGCATTCTTATACATCAATAACAGACAAAAAGAGAGCCAAATCATGAGTGAACTCCCATTCACAATTGCTTCAAAGAGAATAAAATACCTAGGAATCCAACTTACAAGGCATGTGAAGGAGCACTTCAAGGAGAACTACAAGCCACTGGTCAACAAAATAAAAGAGGATACAAACAAATGGAAGAACATGCCATGCTCATGGGTAGGAAGAATCAATATCGTGAAAATGACCATACTGCCCAAGGTAATTTATAGATTCAATGCCATCCCCATCAAGCTACCAATGACTTTCATCACAGAAGTGGAAAAAACTACTTTAAAGTTCATATGGAACGAAAAAAAGAGCCCACATTGCCAAGTCAATCCTAAGCCAAAAGAACAAAGCTGGAGGCATCATGCTACCTGATTTCAAACTCTACTACATGGCTACAGTAACCAAAACAGCATGGTACTGGTACCAAAACAGAGATATAGACGAATGGAACAGAACAGAGCCCTCAGAAATAATACCACACATCTACAACTATCTGATCTTTGACATACCTGACAAAAACCAGAAATGGGGAAAGGATTCCCTATTTAACAATCGTGCTGGGAAAACTGGGTAGCCATATGTAGAAAGCTGAAACTGGATCCCTTCCTTACACCTTATACAAAAATTAACTCAACATGGATTAAAGACTTAAATGTTAGACCTAAAACCATAAAAATCTTAGAAGAAAACCTAGATTATACCATTCAGGACATAGGCATGGGCAAGGACTTCATGTCTAAAACACCAAAAGCAATGGCAACAAAAGCCAAAATTGACAAACGTATCTAATTAAACTAAAGAGCTTCTGCACAGCAAAAGATACTACCATCAGAGTGAACAGGCAACCTACGGAATGGGAGAAAATGTTTGCAATCTGCTCATCTGACAAAGGGCTAATATCCAGAATCTATGAAGAACTCAAACAAATTTACAAGAAAAAAACAAACAACCCCATCAAAAAGTGGGTGAAGGATATGAACAGACACTTCTCAAAAGAAGACATTTGTGCAGCCAACAGACACATGAAAAAATGCTCACCATCACTGGCCATCAGAGAAATGAAAATCAAAACCACAATGAGATACCATCTCAGACCAGTTAGAATGGTGATCATTAAAAAGTCAGGAAACAACAGGTGCTGGAGAGGATGTGGAGAAATAGGAACAGTTTTGCACTGTTGGTGGGACTGTAAACTAGTTCAACCATTGTGGAAGACAGTGTGCCGATTCCTCAGGTATCTAGAACTAGAAATACCATTTGACCCAGCCATTACTGGGTTTATACCCAAGGGATTATAAGTGATGCTGCTATAAAGATACATGCACACGTATGTTTATTGTGGCAATATTCACAACAGCAAAAACTTGGAACCAACCCAAATGTCCATCAATGATAGACTGGATTAAGAAAATGTGGGCCGGGCGCGGTGGCTCACGCCTGTAGTCCCAGCACTTTGGGAGGCCGAGGCGGGTGGATCATGAGGTCAGGAGATCGAGACCATCCTGGCTAACAAGGTGAAACCCCGTCTCTACTAAAAATACAAAAAATTAGTGGGGCGTGGTGGCGGGCGCCTGTAGTCCCAGCTACTGGGGAGGCTGAGGCAGGAGAATGGCGTGAACCTGGGAAGCGGAGCTTGCAGTGAGCCGAGATTGCGCCACTGCAGTCCGCAGTCCGGCCTGGGCGACAGAGCGAGACTCCGTCTCAAAAAAAAAAAAAAAAAAAAAAGAAAATGTGGCACATATACACCATGGAATACTATGCAGCCATAAAAAATAATGAGTTCATGTCCTTTGTAGGGACATGGATGAAGCTGGAAACCATCATTCTCAGCAAACTATCGCAAGGACAAAAAACCAAACACTGCATGTTCTCACTCCTAGGTGGGAATTGAACAATGAGTACACTTGGACACAGGAAGGGGAACATCACACACTGGGGCCTGTTTTGGGGTGGGGGGAGGTGGGAGGGACGCATTAGGAGATATACCTAATGCTAAATGACGAGTTAATTGGTGCAGCACACCAACATGGCACATGTATACATATGTAACTAACCTGCACGTTGTGTACATGTACCCTAGAACTTAAAGTATAACAAAAAATATATATATATTATAAAATCTATTCATTTTTCTGTTTTTCTGGTCGACAGAGCAAATACAATCTTTTTTCAAAAAAAGTCTTGAAATTCATACTCAGGATAAGAAAAAATTATATTCTCTGCACATTTTTCAAAAACTGCCACTAAAAGAAATTTTATACCTATTGTTTTTATTCCAAAATGTGTACTGCAGAAATGAAATATGTCAGGAGTATTACTGTTAATGCTGGGCAAATAAAATAAGAGTGGCAGTGATATTCATAACAGACATATAGAAGTGTTGTGAAAAATTTTACTGCCAGCTGAGATGAGCAAAATATAAGCATAAGGTGTAACTCACTATTCCTTATTGAGAAGATGAGAGATATGGGTTTAAGGGATTCCAGCTCAGTTTAATTCAAAAGTTCAGGATCACTTTGCATTAAATTCAGGATCCTGCTATGAAAGGTATACTGGGGCTTCCTTAACTATCACTATTTTAACTTTATTTTTACCTTTTCCAAACTTTCGTTTTTCTCACTTTCTGTTGCTTTCTTGTTCTTCTAATTTCTATCAATATTCTTTGCATGTGCATCATTTTATTTGTATCTTATTCATTACTCATATAGAACTTTTTAAATATCTCATTATCATTGTTTTTTTTTTTTTTTTTTTTTTTTTTTTTTTTTTTTTTTTAGAGAGAGAGAGAGATTCTTCCTCTGTCTCCCAGGCTGGTTCACTGCAACCTCCTCCTCCTGGGTTCAAGAGATTCTCCTGCCTCAGCCTCTCGAGTAGCTGGGATTATAGGCAGTCGCCACCACGCCCAGCTATTTTTGTATTTTTTAGTACAGACAGGGTTTCGCCATGTTTCCCAGGCTGTTTTCGAACTCCTGACCTCAGGTTATCCACCTGCCCTGGCCTCCCAAAGTGCTGGGATTACAGGTGTGAGCCACCACACCCGGCCTATCATTTTTATCAATTATATTTCCAATGTAAAGTTGGTAAATACATGATAATGGTGTGTATTTAACTTATGCTTGCCCAGCTCTGATCTTTTGGTTGGTTAGGAACTAAATTGATCTTTAAAGATTATGACCTACAGACTTGTGAACTTCCATAAAACTGGGAATTAAGACAAATAGGTCTGTCTAATAATATAACTAAAATAAAAATACTTGAGAAATAGTATAAAAGTACTTCCACTTTTTTCTCATAATTCACTGAGATTATTTTCTCATCATATTTTTCATACATTAAGAGAAACAATAAAGAATGATAGCCCAGAAAGATGATATGTAACTAGAATATAATAAACAGAAACCTAAGAAAGTTAAATTTTAAGTAAACTTTCATTCTAAGTTTAATATATTTAGTAACCATAAAAAGCAAGTAACAGCAAATGTAATAATATATATTGTTTGCACATCTATGTGTATATACATATACACATATAATACACTAGATATAATGGCAATGTAAATACCTTCAAAAAATATCATCTTGTCTAGTCAAATAATTTCAGAATTATTTATGAAGCCATTAATCACAACAATTTGTATGAAGCCATTAAACACAACAATTATCTAAAATACTTATATTTTAGTTGGTTCTAATATTGATAAAGTTTTAACAGCTTTAAATGGAAGCTTTGTCAAAATGAAAAATAATATTTTAGTGTTCCAAAATTAAGCACTTACAAATAGACTCAGACAGGATACTGGACATCCATTGATAAAATAAGATGTACGTGTTATACACTATCATATAATAAACTAGAGTTGTACTCTACACTGCTTTCATGTGGAATCCCTGGGTTTATAATTCCATATCTGTATATTTGTTCAGAATTGTAATGTTTACTATATACATTATGTGCCCTCGACAATGTCTTCGAAAAATGAATAAAGAAGGAAAGATTAACAGTAACACAGAATGAAACCAATCCAAGCAGCGACTACTGTTACTGCAGTAACAGAAACAGGTTCTGTGTTGCTTAGCACTGTGTCAGTTTTGTAATCCATTGGGATGTGATTTATGAAAGAGTCTCACAGATGAGGCAAATATACAGATTATATTGCAGTATCATAATTAAGCAGTTTTTCAAAGAGCAAACACTTCATATGCATAACAATCTTACCTTATCTGCTCTTGCAGGTTTGTCGTTTTTTGTATTTATGATTATGCTTTCAAAAATACATGCAAATTTATTGTTGAAATTACAGTATTTGGCTATTCTTTCTAATACCTATCACAGCAATTATTGTATGTGACACCTGGAAGCAAAATGTCATTCACACTATTCTATCTAATTGGAATATCATCCATTATTGATTTTGTATTCCATTTAGATGTAGCTATAGTTGACTTGAAATCTAGGAGATATAATGGAATTTATTACTATCAAAAGAGTACAACAACTTAGAAAAAAATCTCAGACAAATAAAAAGAACAGAGTCTGCTGCCTCCCCAGTGATGATCGCTGTGATTGTGTTACAGCATGAACTGGATAATAAGAATTAATCCATGACAATGTTTGCTCCAAAAAACAGATGAAGACTCACCTACTAGTGATTCTCTTCCAATTTGGGTATTCAAACTAATACATGTTAAAATATCTAGAAAATATGATCATGAATTACTTGTATAAGCTCACTACTATCTTTGCATAAATAACACAAAATATGTAATTGTTAGTGGTATATTTTTATGCTAAGTAACTTCAATATAATTCAAGCCCAAAGCGGATTGATTAGACAGACCTAAGCTAACAAAAATATGATAATTTGAAAATAAATTTTACTGTGAAACTTACATTTTATACTCAGATTAAATGTTATCTTTAAAGTGGAAAATGTTCTAAAACTGATTTTCCTTAGTTAATCACTTAAGATTCTTTAGTTTTGCTTTTATTTTTGACCCACAAAATGATATTTAAGTGAGAAAGAAAACTACTCATTTAAAAAATTGTCTTCCGACTGTTACAACCATTGCAAAAGAAATAATGTTTACAATTTCAAATATGTCTATACTTTTAAAATCTGTATTCATATTTATACATCTGGAAAAATAAGCTACCTTCACAGAAAACATTAATTATATGATATTTTTGGTATTTTCTACAGGATTGAGACTCTATGAAGACTCTCCTACAGTTTTTGCCAACTCAGAGAATTAAAAGTGGTTCAGCCATCACACAGCACTTGGAGAAAATTTCCATTTCATTAAAAGGAAACTTCCACGATGAAATAAAAATTTTCAATGGTGTTCATATTGAGAAATACTGCCACACTAATGTCAAATACGTTAATGTTTTCAAGTAGTCACAATGCAGTTATAATTAGCAAGAATGAATACATTCAGCTCTGGAGTCGGGCAAACCCAGAATGGCATTCAACCTCTGCCACAACCCTACTGTCATTTTGAGCAAATAATTTAACTCTGAGCTCAGCTTCATTTCATGTAAAATAGACACAGAATGGCTTTCAGTCACAATAACTGTTTGGAAAGATAAAAGCAATAATACCTATGAAGTACTTAGAATAATGTCTGATATAAAGTAAGAGGTCAATATCTTTATGTGTATTGCAGTTGTCATAATCATCTTAATTGTAGTCATCATCATCTCCATTCTCATCATCACACTGCTGGGTAAGTCTCCAGCCGTTGGCTCACAACTTGCACTAATGCAATGAGATATTGCTAAAACTGTATAATGACATACTGAAAAACTCTACCAATACTCTCTAATTTACAGATTGCTTCAGTGAGTTGTGTACATGTAGTTATAAGAAACGGATAATGCAGCCACAATGGTCTACCAACATAAAGCCTCATTTTTATCATTCAGGTTGACTTCTAATGAATCCCAGGCTGTTGTCACTACTCTGGGTCCCTTTGTCTGCTTGTTTTCTCCTTTAGTGTGTAGTTGTTTTCCTCATGATTGCAATGTGGCTGTAGCCCTTCCCAGCCTCAATCTGTGTCACAGATAGAAAGAATAGGGAAGACCAAAGGTACAGAGACACAAAGAGGAAAATCCTGTAAGCCAACCCATCCTGTCTCTGTCATCAGCTTGGCTGAGAGCATCGCCAGGGATTTCTGCTTACAACTTAACAGAGCAAGGTCATGTGACCAATCCAGCTATAATGAAGTCTTAGAAGCTGACAATAGAGCTTTCAGCCTCTGCAAAGGAATGCCTTTTGACAGGTAATCTAATGTCTGTAGCCACAGAAGAGAGCAAGAGAATAAGAGTAGTGCCATATAAAATAGAAATCTTTCAGTCCATGGGTCTTAATATCTGTACAGAATTATTTCAGCTTCTAAAAGTATTTTTCTGAACTGAAAGTGAACCACCTACTTTGAATGGGCAGGTAGTAAGAACAGACTGAGGCAGGGATAGAGATTTTTGCTTTCAGAAAAAAATGTGAAACAACAAAATATTTAACATTAATCGGAGTTCTACATGCTGCAGCTTGAAAATGTAAGTAGTCAAATAAGTAAGCTAGTTATCTGGAGACAGGGCTTTGCTATGGCCTAACTTTTGCTGAAATGGTTCATTTACCCCAATGTAGAGATGAAACGAAGGCCTCTTTCCAACATCCCTAGTTAAACAGAACATCTAGAATTTTCTGAAGTTCTAGGAGTTCTGGAGTCAGCCCTACCAAGCATACCATACTTTAGAGGGGAAAAAAGAGATAAAGATAATAGTATTTGAGACTGGTGATGGATCAGACATTTCTATGAACACAAATGAAATGGTCCATGTAAAAATTCCCACAACTGGAATAGTAAGTAAAACTACATGCAACTCCTAGATAGCATATTCATCCATTAGAGTGATGATATTGTAGGTTTGGTTAACAGGAAGCAGTTAAGAAGACTTACAAAAATACATCCTACTCCTCAGGGGAATCTGACCTCATTCCCCTCACAAGTTTGGGAGAGAGAATTTTGATGATTTAATTTCCATTACTAGTAGTACTAATTTCCATTACTAGTTCCATTTTGAACACTTAAAAATTGATAATGAGGTATTAAAGGAAGGCAGATAAGACTGGGGTAAAACAAGAGTAGGTGTGAGTGAATTTCTAGGAAAAGTTTGCTCAATGTAAAGAAAGACCTACATGAATATATAATCTGTGATCTCTGTTTCCTCTGGACACATTTGTTTCTGGATATGATATATAATAAAGCTGCGTACCCCTTGTTACCAAGAAGGAAACTAGGTTGACGTAAAATCCTGTCTACCAAATGTGGTTAAGAGAAAAGAAAGTAAATTTTTATGATGCCATTAAGCCCCAAATCTGGTCAATCATGAGGGTTCACTGTCACTGAATTTCCCTTCATATAGGACACACTTCTTTACTATTTAAGCTACCTAAGGTTTCATTTGTTTGTTTTTGTTATTTGCCTCCAAAGATACATAAACTAATGCAACATGTTTGTGAAATATAAAGGAATATGATGAACAATAAAGACGAAACAGGTATTAAGTCAGAATTTAGGATTATTTTACAGGTTAAATTTTTAATAACTAAGTTCCTTTTCTAAAATATTAATGAGGGAAGGTATAAACCACGGTTGTCTAGAACACTAGTTATTTATTTTATAGTTAATTTTTTGAGATAATTATAGACTCACATGAAATTATAACATATAAAACGGAAATCCTATATGCCCTTAACCCAGCTTCTCCTAATGGTTAACATCCAGCAAAACTACAGTATTATACTCACAACCATGATATTCATATTGATACAGTACATTATTATTAAGATTTCCTCAGTTTTACCTGTACTCATTTGTGTTGTGTGTGTATGGATTTCAATTTTATCTCATGTGTAGGTTCACATAGCCACTACCACAGTCAAGATACAGAACAGTTTCATCACGACAAGACTCTCCTGTTGCCTTTTTAATATCCACCTGTCTTCCCTCCACCACACCCTAATTGCTGGCAACTATTAATTAATTTTGGCTTTTCAAAATGTCCTGTACATGAAATCAACCTGTATGTAACCTTTGGAGATTGTTTCTTTCTTTCAGATTTACCCAAGTTGTGGGATGTGTCGCTGTGTTTCTGTTTGTTTTAATTGCTGTGTAGTTATTCTCTAAGATGGATGTACCATCTATAAGATGGTTTGTTTATCACTTATCCTCTACCTATTAAATGACATCTGGATTGTTTCCAGGGTAGACTGTTATGATTAAAGCTACGATGTGTATTTTTGTTTAGGGTTTAGTATAATTTTTATTTCTATGAGACAAATGGCAATAGTACTCCTTTATTATTCTTTTAATGGCCACAAGATATGAATGAAATTCCCCTTTTTCATTCTTGATATTGATGATTTGTGTCTCCTCTATTTTTATGTTTGTCTAGACTCCTAGAGGTTTGTCAATTTTATTGACTTTTTAAAAATAACAAGGTATTTGTTTTATTTTCTTTATTGTTATTTTTAAAATTTCATTGATTCCTGCTGTAGTGTTTACTTTTTTTCCTTCTGCATGGATTTTGTTTTTTGCATTTTTTTCTTTAGGATTTTAAGGGAGAGCATAAATTACTAATTTGAACCTTTTCCTCATTTCTATTGTAAGCATTTAATGCTATGAACCCAATACTGCCATAAATACATTACACATGTTTTAAAATGTGGTCGTTTTAATTTAATTCATATACATACACACACATATAATTTGCTTTTATGCCTTCTCTTAGACCCATGGGTTATTCACAAGTGTATTATTTTGATTTCCTCATATTCATATATTTTACTGTAGTCTTTCTGTTACTTCACGGTCAGAGAATATTATCTGTGTGATTCCAGTTTTTAAAAATTTTCTGAAGTTTCTTTTATGTCCCAGGCTGCAGTCTATACTGATGAATAGTCCATGGATAGTTGTAAAAACAAAACCTTCATTCTTCTGTTGAGAGGAACGCTCTATATATGTCAATTAGATCCTGTTGGTTGATTGTGTTGTTCATATATTCTAAATATTTGCAGATTTTTCTGCCTAGTAGTTTTATCGGTTGCTGAGAGGAGACTGTTGAAGTCTCAAACTATAATTGAGAATTTTTCTATTTCTCCTTTCAGGTCTATCAGTGTTTGTTTCATATATTGGAGTTTTGCTGTTACATATGTACATATCTCAATATTTATGTCTTCCTGATGGGTTCATCCTTGAATCTTTATGTAATGTTCCCCTTTTTCTCCAGTAATTTTTTCTTTTACTATCTTCTACTTAATTAAAGATGTAACAACTCCTGCGTTTTTAACTAATATTTGCATTCACATTTTAAGTTTAAATCTTTCAACCTGTATTTCATTGAACTGGAATTTGATGTGTTTCTTTTTTTTTTTTTTTTTTTTGAAACGGAGTCTCGCTGTCGCCCAGGCTGGAGTGTAGTGGCGCTATCTCTGCTCACTGCAGGCTCCGCCCCCTGGGGTTCACGCCATTCTCCTATTCTCCTGCCTCAGCCTCCCGAGTAGCTGGGACTACAGGCGCCCGCCACCTCGCCCGGCTAATTTTTTGTATTTTTAGTAGAGACGGGGTTTCACTGTGTTAGCCAGGATGGTCTTGATCTCCTGACCTTGTGATCCGCCCGCCTCGGCCTCCCAAAGTGCTGGGATTACAGGCGTGAGCCACCGTGCTCGGCTGATGTGTTTCTTATAAATGGCACGTAGCTGGGTTAGGTTTTTTAATTTCCTTTTTTTTTTTTTTTTTTAGACGGATTCTGGCTCTGTCGCCCAGGCTGGAGTGCAGTGGCACAATCTCGGCTCACTGCAACCTCTGCTTCTCGGGTTCACGCCATTCTCCTGCCTCAGCCTCCCAAGTAGCTGGGACTACAGGAGCCCGCCACCATGCCCGGCTAATTTTTGTATTTTTAGTAGAGATGAAGTTTCACCATGCTAACTGGGCTGGTCTTGAACTCCTGACCTCAGGTGATCTGCCTGCTTCAGCCTCCCAAAATGCTGGGATTACAGGCGTGAGCCACCGTGCCTGGCCCAGTCCCTGTCTTTTGATTGGTACATTTAGAGTTCTGATATTTAAGGTAATTATTGTGATGTTAGAGCTCTGCCATTTTAGTTACTCTTTTGTTTTCTCTCGTTGTGCTTTGTTATTTTTATTTTCTTCCTGTGGGTATTATTTTGAGTTTCATATAGATTTACTTATCATGTTTTTGAATGTGTCTTTTCGTAATTTTTAAAATAAAAATTTGAAAGTTCCAAACCACCTTTCTGAGATCATGCTTACTAATATAGGAAAATATAATTCAGCAACCTCAAGAAATCAAGAATCCAATTTTCAAAATGTTACTCACTCTATCTTGAGGTCATAGGTTGTTCCTGAGCCTAACCCTCACTATTCAAAGATAATGTACACAGGTGACTGTGGGCACATATAGTTTCACAACTCCTGCAAATTCTTCTCTAGACTACTCACTAAACTTAGTAAAAGGGCAAGATATTACCCTTTTAGATATGTAATGGTAACAATTTGTCATTTTTCTTCCATTGGTCAATTTTAATTCGCATTAATGAAACAATATGATGTACCTGTTGCTTCTGTCAATAGGGCATAATATTTATTAAAAATCAAGAGAGCTTTTGTAGCTACCTATACATGTAAAGATTGCTTATTTTTTCACACTGCATTAATCTTATGACTGATAGTAGATTGATGCCCACCTCATACCCTATGTGAAAATACATAATTGTCCCCAATATTAATTCTTCCCTTCTTCCTTAGCACATAGTAGAATTTCCAAATGCTTGCTGAGCAAAAAGTAAAGCCTACATTTTTAGGATCCCTTGAATCTAGTTCTGACAATGTGACTAAATTCTGGCCAATGGGATGCAAACAGAAGCAGCATATGTACCTTTCAGAAAGGTATTCTTAAAGAAAACACCGTATTCTTCTACTGCACTTCTGTCTTTCCAACTGGCTAGGTTGCTGGTTGGAGTCAGAGTTGGCGTGGCCATTTTGGATAATGTCTAATCCACTTGATGCAAAGTGTAGACAGAAACATAAAGGGTTCCTGGATCTGAGAATTGAGGTTCTGAAATTATGCTGCTTATATATATATATATATATATATAGTGCTTATGTAAGAGAGAAATAAATTATATTATTTCAACTTAAATTTGTTGTGCATTTTATATCACTAGTAGCTGAACATACTAATAATACAGTTCTCAATGCTAATTCCATTGTGAATGCCATTTTCACATTGGAACTTATTCAGATAAATCATCTACAGTAATTGTTACTGCAGCAACAACTTAATCTTTTTTTCGTTTGTTTGTTTTTTTTTTTTTTTTTTTTTTTTTGAGACGGAGTCTCGCTCTGTCGCCCAGGCTGGAGTGCAGTGGCGCCATCTTGCAATTTCGGCTCACGGCAAGCTCCGCCTCCTGGCTTCAAGCGCTTCTCCTGCCTCAGACTCCCGAGTAGCTGGGACTACAGGCGCTCGCCACTACTCCCGGCTAATTTTGTTTTTGTATTTTCAGTAGAGACGGGGTTTCACGTGTTAGCCAGGATGGTCTTGATCTCCTGACCTCGTGATCCACCCGCCTCGGCCTCCCAAAGTGCTGGGATTACAGGCGTGAGCCACCAAGCTCGGACAATTTAATCTTTGAAAATTGATATTATCATGTTACTTTCTTGTTTAACACACTTGACTAGCTTGCAAAATTCTATTACTGTTGAAGCCAAATCCTTCATACGACCAGCTTCCTCATCTCTACAAGTTTAGTACATTTTTTTCTTCCTCTTATATTTCAAACAGGACAGCCTTATTTTTTTATGAATTATGTTATATTACATCTTACACATATCCTTTGGTCATAATTTTGTTCCTCCCAAATTTCAAAATCTTGTTTTAATATATATCTTATTAAGTTTTTATCCTTCGTTCTCAGAGAAAGTATTTCTTCCTTTGAAAAATCTCCTGGACTCCTTGATTTATGTCAGATCCTTTCACTTGACACCTTCATTAAAATATGTGTCTTTACCTCTGTACTACAAAATTTTTCAATTCATGTTTGTGGCCCCTGTTAGACTATTAATTCCATGAGTGCATTAAGTTACATGTTTCTTTTTGATTTTTCTGTAATGCTGGCATCTGGCAGTAAAGCACAGCACTTAGCACATAGCAAATGCTCAGTAAAGGCTTTTAAATAAGTGGATTTTTAAAAATTATCAACACTTCTCTTTGAAAATGGTGACTTTAGCACTTGACTCACTGACTTTCTCTATACAACATGTCACGAAACTTAAGATCTCTGTGGCAACTTATTCTCTCTGCTCCTCAAACTATTATCCAAAATTTTTTCCCATTCTACTTCAGTCATATAATATCTTTATATCATGGACATTGATACCACCAAAATGTCAGCCACTAAACACTCTTTAAACATAACCTTCTGGCTGGGCCCGGTGGCTCATGCCTGGAATTCCAGCACTTCGGGAGGCCGAGGTGGGCAAATCACGAGGTCAGTAGATCGAGACAATCCTGGCCAACATGGTGAAACATCATCTCTACTAAAATACAAAAAATTAGCTGGGCATGGTGGTACGCACATGTAATCCCAGCTACTTGGGAGGCTGAGGCAGGAGAATCACTTGAACCTGGGAGGCGGAGGTTGCAGTGAGCCAAGAACATGCCACTGCACTCCAGCCTGGGCGACAGAGCAAGACTCCGTCAAAAAAAAAAAAAAACAACTGCTTATATTTCTTCTTCAATTATTTCTACTGCCCTGTACTTGACATCAATGGTACTACAATCTGATGACTATGTTTTGACTCTCTACTACTCCAACATTACACTAAAGATTATTTCTAAAATACCTCAGAATGTATCTCAGGAAAAAATTAATCTAACTGCCTGTGCCCTCTGTGAGTGCTGCCAGCCGTCTGATTGGAAATGGGGACACCACTCCTCACACGGGGCCTTGACATTGCCCAGACATTGTCCATTCCTAAGGAAATTATTTTTTGATTCTCTGCCTAGTAAAGATTCACCCCAAATCCACATAAATGATTTAGAATGTTTTCCACTGAAATGCTAGAATTATATGTGAGTTAGAGATAATAAGCAAGTAGGAAATAGGAACAATTCAAGGTTGGTTAGTTCAGTTGCTCAGCAACGTCTTCAAGGAACTGGGCCCTTTCTATGCTGCCATCCCCACCTCTTGGTATTACCTTCCCTCATGGTCATGAGATGGCCATAGCAGTACTAACGCTGTGTGAACACAGGACGATATCCAGAGAAGAGAGGTGTTTTCCTCCAGCAACTGTCTGCATTATCAAAGAAAACCTTTCCCAGAAGCTGACCAAGAGGCTCTCTCTCGGGTTCCAGAGGGCATAATTAGGCACCATGTGCATCCTCTTACTAATCACTAGCAAGGAGACTGCGACCAAAGGAATCTGTCACATCAGCACTCCCCAACATTTTTGGCACCGGGGACCAATTTTGTGGAAGACAATTTTTCCAGGGATGGTGGGTGGCGGGATGATTTGTGGTTGAAACTGTTCAGGCAGCCTAGATCCCCTGAATGCGCAGTTCATGATAGGGTTTGTGCTCCTGTGAGAATCTGCTGCTGCTTATGATCTGACGGCAGGCCACGCACAGGCAGTAATGCTTGCCCATCACTCACCTCCTGCTGTGTGGCCGGGTTCCTAACAGGCCACAGACTGGTACCAGCCTGTGACCCGGGGGTCGAGGACCTCTGTGTTAGATACAAGATTATTTATTTTGGCATAAAGTGGTTAAAACCTTTCTGTAAATAAATATAGTGGTGAATATCTCCACAAAATTAAATCTTTGTTAGCAACAAATGAAAAGACATGGCTTTTGATAGTCAACCAATAGCAGGAAAGTAGTGTTACAGAAGTCAAGGAAGCAACAGTTTGAAGAGAGATAACTTAATTACAGTGATTCTGATTCAGTGAGATATAGAAATAAAAAACACACTAGTAATTTGAAGGTCATTTCTAACTCTTGCCAAATAATTTTTGTCTAGTGACAGGAGTACACAGACTTGGAAGGAAATACTTACAATATCTCAAAAACGACCCACCTTGTCAATGGTATTTCCTAAGGTTGACCCTCCTTAACTCTAAGATCCTCTGCTTTAAGTCTTAGAAGAAGGAAAATAAATAGAAAATGGAAATTGGGATGTACAAGGAGTTAAAATGACAGTGATTAAAATGATAGGTAGATTAAAGGTGGGCTGTTTCATTCACTATTCTAGTTGGAGTTCAGGAAAATAATATAAAATTAATCCTTTGAAGGTAAACCTTAGAAATAATCATTGTTTCTGCTTTGGATGGGAATGCAACTTATATGGCATCCTGTGGAATTTATTGATGCCTCTCATTTATCCTAAAAGACAGATTCTTCTTTTACAAGACAACAGATGAATTCCCTTGAGGTTATTCCTCACTTTCTGTGTGGTGATATACAGAGAATAGGTGAAGAGCTGATGACTGGGTAGGAGTTATTTCTAGGAAAGGTCTAGTGTTGATCACTGTATTAGAAAAAGAGTAATTTAAGAAATGTTGTAAATATTCGTAATATCACATTAGCACATACAATAATTGTCAGCTCCATAACCAGGCATGCTGTTATCTCTCTTTCTAGGATAGCTAATACATCCTAAAATGCTCTGATACGCTGCGGGGTTACTAACACTGTCTTTAATGCAGCATTTTTCTTTGAAGGACTGAAACCAAGTGGTCTCTCCAGGGCATCATAAATCTTAGTTTTCATTTAGAATATAGAAACCATAAAGAAAATAAAACAATATTTAAGCCTCAGAGAAGGCCAATTTCCAATACGAAATGGGATTGTTATGAGAGTAAAGGAATGAGCAGAGGAGAATAGGAACACTGCAATGTACACGAGGCTGCCAGAAACAAAATAAAGGAGGCACGGGAGCCCTGGGGACTCTACATGATAGAGCAGTGACCAGAAAACTGAAATGGTCCACATGGACTATTCATTTTTTCAGCCATCTGTACTAAAGACTGTAGAATATCAAGATTTCAATGATATTGCTAAAGACAGATGCTCATATGATTTTAAATTATACATTTGAAACTTTGTGTGAATTAAGAAGTCATCATTTGAGGTAAATATGCAATAGAAATAATATGATTTGACAAAGCTTTGAGGTAAAATGATTTCATGGAATTAAGTCACAATACATTATAATTTTCTAATTATATACAACATCTTTAAACTTTTGAAGCCATTAAAGCATAGCAGGAATTTAATGAGAGATCTAATTTTGTGTACATCTATCGCATGATTCATTTCTTAAAAGTTCTTGTGAGTCAAAATGTGGGCAGGGAACTTTCAGACTGTTTATCTCCCAATAATATGTTATTGTTCTATTTTTATATATTCCTTGGGATTTGCAAAAATAACAAAGGTAAATTTTCTTACAAAAATCGAAGAGCATCTTCATTAATTAAAAGGAGGAAACTTTTCTGTAAATCTTTATTAGAAGAGTTGGCTAGCCCAAATATATCAGCATATTTTATTGTGTGTTATTTATAGTTAAAATAAAAATAATATTAAGTAATAATTGACTTAATCACCAAAATAACAGGTAATCAGAATTAACATTTAACAAGCACATGTGATAAGTGAGACGCTCTTCTAAATGTTTTAGATGTTATCACCCATTTTATCTTCATGATAACTGTATGAAGTGCTGACAATGTTTTCAAGGAATTTTGTAAATCTGTTAACTAGAACACAGTTTATATCACTGAGTACATTAAGGAGCTGGAGCTTGACACTAAGTAGTCTGACTTCAAAATCTGCTTGTAAATTTTTTTCACTCACGGAACAGCAAGTTGTTAATATTTTTATCTAAAATAATTTTGCAGATAATGCTGTCATAGTGTATTGAAATGTTGTAAAAGTATTAATATGATACAATTTAAGGATTTTCCAGGAAAACATAATCTCTTTCATTCTTCTTATTGTGTTTGTTCCCAATCCATTAATAAATGACTAAATCCCTTTGCTTAAAATCATACAGTAAAATAAAAATGCTCATGGATAGGAAAATATTTCATGTTGCAATTAACCACCTCTTCTCTTGTATAGAGTTTCTGAGATGTGGGCAAAAAAGAGCCCTGGTATCAAAATTACCAAATGTACAAATTATTTAAACATTTCTAAACATATTCCATTTCTTCTAGTGGAGATCAAAACTGGTTACTAAAGAAGTTTTCAGGTAATTTGTGTGTACAGTAAAGAGTTAAACATTGACTCTCATAATAATTAATTATATATTCCTAAAAGTAAGATGTGAGTGAGCTTAAATATATTGGATAGCTTAAACTGTTGAGCTGTAATACCACTAAAGATGGAAGACTGAAAATACAAAGAAACGGTCGTAGATTCTTGTAAACATTAAAATGCTACCGAGAGAGGCCACTGACTGAGGATGATTTCAAATCATTATTTATTTGTCAGAAGTAAATGTTTATAAAATATCACAAAAGATTACCAACTATTTAACGTATTGAAAAATGTTGACTATTTGTTTTTAGATTATCCTTTACAAAAAAATAAACTATATTAAAATATTTGGAAATTAATATTAATTGACTGTGACAAACCAAATGTCACTAAAACATATTGTAATATGACATTTTTGTTGCTTTTTCAGAATGATGGTATCTGTTGCTTTAAATATCTACATAATTGACTACCATTTTAAGGTCTTTGAAATATACAATTTCCTATTATAAATTATTTTTGAAAAGGGAATTGCTTTGCATTTTGAGAATTTTCAAAAGCAAAACCAAGACCTATGCATATGTCAATTGCCTAACATTAAAATATTAAAATAAAAAATTACAAAATACTTTTGTTTACAAAAGTATACAACTGTGTGGGAAGGAGGTAAAGAGAAGTTAAAGAAAGACAACAGATTTTAAAATTCCTATCTTACTCAAATGCTCAAATTCGAGCTGGAATACAACCCATGCAATCTGCAGGGTGTCAGTAAGAAACAGAGCAGCAGATGAGTAGGAATTGACATCTGTGGCTTGGGAAAAAAATTGGCAAGGAGAGCAAAACAAGTAGTTAAAGAGCTCTAAATGGCCATAAAAATATAGTCTTCTGAAAAACACAGGACAGCTTAAATTCTTATTTTTATTATCTTCCCCTATAAAGTAATACATGTTTAGGAGGATAGCCATAAATAAGAAACAAAATAGTCATTCTAAAAAGAAATAAGCATGTTGTGGAGGGTGGAAATACAAGGGAGTATTTTGCTATATGGAGTAGATTACTGATAATATTTAATGTACATCAGCTATATTTTGCAAAGTACATTTCAGGTTCCATGACTGATGTTGTTACAAAGCTTGTAGAATTGTATTGTTCAGAAACTTTCTAAGGTTTATATAATTTTTCCCTTCAGAAAACAAAAGCTGGGAAAAGAATGATGCATACTGTTTTCTATTTTCTATGAGTTACAATAACAAATGAATTATCAAGATGAACTAGAGAGTAAAGATATTAAGTCAATACAGGGCCCATGATTCTAATACAATTTTCTATCTTTAATTAAAATAAAATAGACAATGCACAAATCCATTATCAAAAATCAAAAGTCATATTATTATATTAAATACATTTTCACCAAATGCTTGAGAACACATGCATTTGATGGTAAAGACATAAACAAAAAATACTAATTAATAAAACAAAACACTTTCTGTTGTGGTATTAAATTAGACTTTTCATTATTTATGATTTATAGGGACAATTTATAAACATAGCTAACCCCATGATAAAACCACCCATAATAACAGACATTTAGATATAATATGTATTTTTAATTGGATCCCATTTTTATAAATAAGATAATAAAGTTATATTTTTCCTCTTGCATGTGGGGTGGGAGAAATGGAAGGAAATTATTAAAGAGTACTATTGTGTTCTCAGTCCGGTATATGGTCAGTTGTGCACATAATAAATTTTATCAGCTTTGATTTTGTGTTTTTTCTGATGGTAGAGAAAGGCAGGCTAAAAAATTTGCTTTTTGTTATTCTTGCTATAACCTGACTACACGTCTTACTTGTTAATAATTTTGAGCTCATTTATGGTGTTTTGATTGAATATTATGATATTACATATAAAAAAAGCAAACTAAAACATCACAAAATCATACTCAATTCTTCAAATTTCCATAATAAGAACATCTTAATAAGACAAATTGCAACTATCAGAGTACCACAGTTGAAATACCAATATTTCTAAAATATTGTGTTCACAAAACATTTTGCATGCGTAATAGATGTTAAATTTTAGATATATTTGAAATATGGATCTAAACCATTTTAACATATTTACTATTTTTTCATAATAAATGCAATCCATGGCTACAAAGTGAAGTAAAACATTGTAGAAGTCTTCTTTTCTAGCCCATTCTCTACTAAGTCCCTTAGTAACAGTCTGTGCAATGACCTATGCTGATTTATCTGTAATCCCCGCTACAGAAAATGTTTATTAGTTCAGTTAATTTATCATTTGGCTACCTTCTGCATTCTCTAAGATGCAGCTAGAGATCATTTGTGGACCCAGAAAACCTTGGCTGCCCTAATTTGTACTGAGCCACCCAAATGGTTATTACAGCAGTAGGATAACACTTTCACCATGGCCTTTGGCTGTATTTGTATGGCCATTTTAATTCTTCGCAGTTTGCTTCCCAGTGACTCATATTCTTCTCCTCAGTTATTTCTTATTGACATCCAAGTAAAATACTCTTGAAGCAATGGATTGGTTTTTGTAGATTAATGCAAAGTTGTTTCAAGAAACCTGAATTACAGGCTGATTCTTGATATATATAAGGGTTTTGGATTCTACTAAACATCCTACCTAAATACGTTTTACAAATAATAAAGAGGAGGCTAAATATATTTTAAAAATAAGGAGTCCTGGCCGGGCATGGTGGCTCATGCCTATAATCCCAGCATTTTGGGAGGCTGAGGCGGGCGGATCACAAGGTCAAGAGATTGAGACCATCCTGGCCAACATGATGAAACCTCATCCCTACTAAAAATAAAAAAAAATTAGCCAGGCATGGTGGCGCACACCTGTAGTCCCAGCTTCTCGGGAGGCTGAGGCAGAAGAATGACTTGAACCCGGGAGGCGGAAGTTGCACTGAGCCAAGATCATGCCACTGCACTCTAGCCTGGTGACAGAGCAAGACTCCGTCTCAAAAATAAATAAATAAATAAATAATAGTAATAAGGAGTGCTATGTGTGGTATATAGTTGACTATCAACAAATATTTCTTGACTGACTGCATGAACTAATGAATAAATTGACCTCTCTTATTTTAATGGTAATTATTACTGCTGATATCCAAGTTTGAATTGAACTTGTTTCATCCAGTTTTAATTCATATTTTTAATAATCTGATATAACTTGCCTCAAAGCATGTATTTTACCTATTGGGGCTATAGTTTCTGCTTGGTGAGAGGCTCTACAGTATTTCAGGCATTTAGCAAATATTTATTGAGTGCCTACTATGTGACAGTGCGCAAAATCAAGTTATTTGATAGCGGACCTTGAAAAGCTATATGCTTACCTATAGTGCTGACTGGATCTAATACTGATTCTTGACAAAATAAGGATGAGTCAGCTAACTAATAACTTATACTGAGTTGTTTAAAGTTTTAGCCTTCTCTAATGACCTTGTTTGTTGTTGGCTTTTACCTGCTGTAATCTGCTAGACAGGCCTGACTCCCTGACTTGAAAGACATAAAAGACCCCATTGAAAACTTTTGTGGGAGTTCTACAAACAAGATTTCTCATATATATTATATTATCCTACTCCAGACAAAGCATACACTTTAGGATGCCGTTTCTGTAAGTCTCTCAAAGCCCTAATACTTGCTTGTGTTTTCTTTCTCCTGCAGTAACATATTGTTTTCCTTTAATAAAGTCTTATATGGAAATTCTTGGTAGTGTTTTATCAGTGTTTTTAATTAACTAAACTGCATAAAATTTGTAGCCAATTATGGAATGAGTTGATGGAAATTCAATATTCTACAAAGGCAGATATTGCACTCTTTTGGAACAAACAGTGTTCTCTTTCTACCTCATTCTACCCTCTCTGAAGACAATCTTGGTCTTCTCCCACACGTTTATGTACCAAGGATATGTTATTTTCAATGGAGGTAATAAAATAAACCTAGTTTTATTTTCTCTATATTTTGTCACAAGAGTTTCACTCTTGTATAATTAATGGTTTTATAAGAACTTTTAGAAAGTTGAAAATTTTTCCAGCATAGCAAGATAACATGTGAAAAAGAACTTAGAATAGACCAGTAAAGATGGCTCTGACCTTATGTAAATCATACTATAGCATCTTTTGCCTAAAAAAAGAGGTATAATGGTTTCATGTAGGAAGGCACCAGTTTTATGAACAAAACTGGAAAAAATTTAGTGCTAGAATATGGGTACTTAAAGTATTATTTGATGACTGTATTTGGAGATCACAACTGATAGCTGGGAAATTTGTATTTATCTAAAAAAAATAGGACTTTGAGGACCCCAAATCTTCTTTGACTTATTGCAAATTATACTTTCCATAATAAATAAACTGTTCAAATTAAAGAACACAGTTCATAATTTTTAAAATATTATTTTAATTTATATTGAGTAACAGAGGTGTATATTTTAAAAAGCAGTAGTGATGAAGGTTGAAAAAATGGAGAATTCCTTTGGTATAAATGTTTCATTCTAAATAAAAATGGTTATATATATATTTTTGGAATAATCAATTTTAAATATTATTAACTAATTCATTTTTTTGCTAGAAAAAGGTTTAAAATCTTCACTGGGTCCTTTCTGCTACCAATCCAATAAATGTATGGATTTTTAACATTAAATTAGCAGTCAGTAGTTATTCTCATTACGATAATATTCAGTGATGAGTCAAAATATATGATTATTATGATTTATTTTATAAAACTAAACAGGGGGAGGCTGTTATAACATGAAGGCTTGCTCTCTCATGTACCTGTTGGTGGATACAGGCTGTAGTCTGAGACCTCAGCTAGGTCTACTAGTTGGAACGGCTACATAGGACCTCTTCATGTAGGTACATGTCTTCCTCAAAGCATGATGGCTGCATTCCAGAGAAAGCATCCCAAAAATAACAAAGGAGAAGTTCATAACTTTTTTATACTTGGATTTAGAAGACAAATAGTTTTACTCTTGGCATGTGCTACTGAGAGAAGCAGACACAATAATTTAGTGAAGTTCAAGAGGAATGGACTCTTCCAGTCAACAGTAACAGTATCAACATCACATTACAAGCACAACATGTGAGAATGAATATACTCTAATGACCCTATTCAGAAAGAGAAATTAACTGTATATTGCTATGACTACCCTGTGTTAAACTCCTTGACTCTGTATTTTTCTATTCCTTGGTTATATATAAATATATAATTTCCAAGCAATTTCTATGGTTTGAATGTTTTTGTCCCCTGCAAAATTCATGTTGACACTTAATTGCCAATGCAACAGCATTGAGAGATGTGGCATTTTGAAGTGATTGAACCATGAGGGCACTTCCATCATGAATGGGATTAGGTCACCTAATCAGAGGACTTGACAGAGGGAGATTGTCCCTTTTTGCCATTTTACCTTCTGCCATGTGAGAACAGTGTTCCTCTACCTTCATTCTGGATGAAAGTGCCATCTTGGAAGTAGAGATTGGATCCTCATTAGAAAACAAACCTGCTGGCAAGTTGATCCTGAACTTCCCAGCCTCTAAAAATGGTGAGAAATAAATTTTTCTTTATGAATTACCCAGACTGTGGTATTGTGCTATAGCAGCACAAACAAAGACAGCAATGAAGAAACAATCTTAACCACATGTCCAAGACAATAAATGTAAAAGATCTATATTAAAATATGTCATCAATGAATTTCAGGACTATTTAAACATCAGAAAAAGCTGATCATCAAAGTTCCTGTCTAAGGATGGAGGGACAGCAGGAAGGTCACAATCAAATACAAAATAGATGAATGGCCTGAAGTTTTTAATAGAATGGATCAAGGTTTCCAAAATTTTGATGTATAATGGCATCCAACAAACAATTTGGTGTCTAAAAAAATCATTCACATGTGAGAACAGAAAAAAATGCTAATATTGAAGTGTGTTCTGGTTTTAAGTGCTCTATTTTTAAGAGCGATCTCACATTGTAAGTATGCACAGTCATTGCTGAAGATACTTAATTTCTTTAAAAAATGATAAATATCCATTTGCATAGGGTTAGAGGAAGCATACGCACTCCAAAAGTAGGGTGGAATATATGTGATGATTCTCCAATAGTCAAATATATTGATTTTACTTTTATTTCATTTTCTTTTTGGCCTCATCTTTCTGTTGCTCAAAGTTTTTCTTAAATTCTCAAGTTAGAGTTAAGTTATCCAGAATATAAACTTCTCATTAGATAATTTTTTTCTCTCTTTCTGTGCATTTGTGTGTGTGTGCATGTGTGTGTGTGTGTGTGTGTGTGTGTTTGTAGAATTTTTCATGGATCTCAGAATTATAAATACAGCTGTCCATTCAGCATCTCAATTTAGATTTCTGATAGTCATCTATGAGTTTGTAGTAGAAAAAAGTAAAGTTTTTCTCTTGCACTTTTTCATGTCTCAGTTAATGATATTTCTTCTACTCATCAGTTGCAACACAGAACCTTAGAGTCATCTTTGTTCTCTTCCAATAGACCCCATATACAATACATTATCAGTACTGTGGATTCGTTCTCATAAATAGATTCAGAATGTAACTATTAACCAATATGTGCACTGTTACCATCCATCAATGCTAGCTCTCAACTGAATACCTGCAATAGTCTTTTAAATGATGTCCTATGATATGGTTTGGATGTGTCCCACCCAAACCTCAGCTTGAATTGTATCTCCCAGAATTCCCACGTGTTGTGGGAGGGACGCAGCGGGAGGTAATTGAATCATGGGGGTCAGTCTTTCCCGGGCAATTCTCATGATAGTGAATAAGCCTCATGAGATCTGTGGGTTTATCAGGGGTTTCCGCGTTTAGTTCCTCCTCATTTTTCTCTTGCCGCTACCATGTAAAAAGTGCCTTTTGCCTCGCATCATGATTCTGAGGCCTCCCCAGCCATGTGGAACTGTAAGTCCAATTAAACCTCTTTTTGTTTCCACTTTCACATATGTCTTTATCAGCAGCGTGAAAACAAACTAATACATCCTATTTCCACAATTATCAGCACCACTTCCTTCGTCCCAGGAAATCTTTCCTTAATATAAAACTAGAGTGAATAGTTTAGAAGTAATGAAGATCATGCCTTTAATCTAAAATTTCTAATGGATTTTTGTTTCAATAAAATAAAATGAATATTTCTGCCATGACTTATATACTTTTCAAAAGCCAAAAGCTGCTTTTCTTACGTTACTTTTTGGACTCCATTTTCTGTCATTCTTGCATTTTTACCTGATTCAATTACCTAACCCTTTTGCCCTTCTCCAATTAGGCTAAGTACAGTTTTACCTCAGAATCTTTAAACATAATTTTGTCTGAAAATTTTTTCCATTAAACAATCATTGCATACATCCTGGCTAACTGTCCCAGTATTAGGAAAGCCTTCCTTAATTCTCCAGCACACTCTGTCCCCAATGCACTATTTCTTAAAATCTTTTCAGTGTTTTTAAAAATTATCTGACACACTATATATTTATTTTATCATTCATTTATTATATATTTCCACTACAAGAATGTAAGTTACTGAAGTGTAAGACTTTACCTGGTTCAGCTATTGTTCCATTTCCAAAGCTTAGAGTAGTCCCTAGTAAAGAATAGCTGTTTAATAGCTATTTGAAAAATAAATAACTCACTAAAAATGTAATGTGATAAAAATATAAAATAAAATTTGTTAGATTTTCAGTATCCTAACTCTTGATTATGTAATTCTGGCTAACAAAAAACTGAGAAAGTGTTTGAATTTTAGATATTTGTGAATGAGTTTGATGTGCCATATTCAATCAAAGTTTTAAAAGCATCAAAGTCAGGAATCTCTTGTTTCTTGGCTCTATAAGTGCACTCATCCCAGGATCACTCTTTTTGGCTCAAATTACAAAATTTTAGTAAATCTTTTGTGAGAAATATTGTAAGCCCCAGGAAAATTCATTCTCCCTACTTCATGTTTTCTCTTTATAACTTTTGAGTGATTTATTTCATGATTTGGTAATAAAGGTAAAATAAAATTTGCTTCAATTTTGAATATTTGTAAAATGAAGATTTTATTAAAATAATTTGTGAATAATTTTATTGATTCAATAGAACATTTTTTGATTCAATCAATAACATTGATTGATTCAAGAGCCCCAAGGAAATCTTTTCTTTGAGGTTTTGATGGTGTTCAACTGTAAGTCCTCAGGACTTGGTGCTTTCATTGGGATAATAATTTTTTAACAATATCTTTTAATATTTTCTATTTTAATTAATAAATTTACTATGACAAATTTTATTCTCTCTGTCTGTGTGTCTCTGGTTATGTTCCCTAATGTTTGTATTAAGACATCTTTATTTTAAAAGACTAGATCTTTAAACTTGATATCAACATACCCAAATATAGGCTATAATAACTACAATTACTTTAATCCAAAATTTCATATTAAAATAGAAAAACTGCTACTATGCATCTGCATGCAGATTCCAGTGAAAATATTAACATTGTAGGTGAATCTAGATAAGAAGTTGTAGATTGCACAGCAGGCATAAACAGCCAGTTTCCTGATAGCATCTTATTTTCAGCACTAATTTTTTAAATGGATTGAGAATTTTCACTATATTTTTCCTGGAATAGTTAAGGGAAAATGACTTTAATAACAGTGAACATTCCTGTGAAAAAAATAAGTAAGACTAAATAAGAGACCTAGAAAATTTCATGTATTATAGAATATATGTAGATGATAACATACATTGAAAAATGCAAAACTATAAAATATATAATCTAATAATCCACATACCCTAAATAAATAGAAAGACAGTCGAGAACTCCTTCCTTCCTTGCATGGAGGGAAGAGTGTGAAGTGAGCACCCAACTTTGCTGTGAACCCCAGCACCAGGCCACCCCAGTGAAACTCAAGCAGACCAACCCTTACTGCCCCAAGTTCTGGTATCTATGGACTGAACCTCCAGGCCTACCCCGATATCAGGCCAGCCCCACAGCGTCAGGCTCCAGGACAGAATCTGATTATCCAGCTTTTAGTTCTGTCCCAATGTGAAGCCAGCCCTCACAGTTCAGCTTTCATGTCAGCCTCACAGTCTCAGGATTCAGGCCCATTCTGGCACCAGGTTGGTCCCCACAGCCCCAGACTCTAGGCTTTCCCCACTAAACTCAGACTCCAGAACTTTACCTGTACACCCCGGCTTTAGACTTTCCCCCATATCTCAAACTCCAGGTCCATCCTGGTACCAGTCCAGCCCCTATCAACCCATGTTTCTGGCTGCTCCTATAGACATAGGCTCCAGGCCTGCCTCCATGGACCCAATACACAGGTATACCTCAGTAGATAAGAGTGCCAGACTAGACACCTGAGGATCCATGCAGCTGAGAAGATCCTAGCTGCAGTATCACTATGGTGGACCCAAGCTTCAGACCTATAACTGTGGATCCAGGGCCCAGGATCTATGCTGGGCCCTTTGGACCCAGGCACCAGAATCACCCCACCTTCTCACCCAGGTACCAAGCCTGCCCAGTGATTTGGGCAGCAGGCCCATCTGAGGATCCCACTAGACAACCTGCCCAGAATCTCTGGACCAGCTGATTGGTGAAGGGCTTTCCCTACCATAGCCAGTCTGTAAAGACTGTAATAGGTGCCTAATTCTTCAAATGCATAGACACCAATGCATGGTGATGAGGACCAGGAATAATCAGGTAATGTAACACTGCCAAGGGAATAAAATAAACAATCAGAAGCTGAACCGAAAAGAAATGGATATTTATAATCTTTCTGTCAATGAATTCAAAATAATCATCTTAAAGAAGCTCAGTGTGCTACAAGAGAACACAAATAGACCACTAAACAAAATCAGGAAAACAATATGTGAACAAAATTAGAAATTCAACAAGAAAAAAATCATAAAGGAGAATCAAACAGAAATATTTGAGCAAAATGGCACAATGACTGAACTGAAAAATTTCATAGAAATCTTCAACAGCAGGTTTAGTCAATCAGAAGAGAGAATCGGTGAGTTCAGAAACAGATCATTTGAGATTACCTAGTAAGAGGGACAAAAATAACAACTAAAAGAAATGAAATCAAATGAAGGAGGCCTATAGGAAGTATGGGGCACCATCAAGTGACCAAACATATGCATTATGAGAGTCAAAAAATAATCAGAAAAATAAAATAACAGGAAGCTTATTTAAAATGATGGGAAACTTCACAAATCTGGAGAGAAAAATGAATATCAGATCCAGAAAGTCAAAATAACCCTAAATAAGTTAATATAAATAGATCTTTATTGAGATTATAATCTGATATATATCATATATAATATATATCGTATATAATATATAATATCAGATATATACTGATATTATAATCAAATTCTTAAAAGCCAAGGAAAAAGAGAGACTTTTGAAAGCAACAAGAAAAAACAACTCATCACGTACAAAGGAATCTTTATGACACTGTTAGCTGACCTTTCAGCAGAAACATTGAAGGCTGGGAGAGTATGGAATGATCTATTCAAAATGCTGAAGGAAAAAAAACTGCCTGCCAAGAACAGAATGTCAAGCAAGGATGTCCTTCAGAAATGAAAATAATATACTTTCCTCAACAAACAACAGCTGAGGGCAGGAGTTAATTACCACTAGATTTGCCTTAAAAGAAATGCTAAAGAAAGTTCTTTAAGTGGAAATGAAAAAATACTAGTTGCTAACATGAAAACACGTAAATACATAAAACTCACTGTAAAGATAAAAATACGTTTAAACTCAGAATACTCTAGTACTATAAAAATGGTTCTTAGATCACTTTTAACTCTAACATAAAACTTAAAAGATGAAAATACTAAGAATAACTATAGCTATAATAATTTAATAGATGCACGAGAAGAATTTATATTGAGATAACAACATTAAATGTTGGGAGAGAAGTTAAAATGTAAATCTTTTATATACGGTCAAAATTAACTTATCCTCAGCTTAAAATAAAGTATTATAACTATAATATGTTTTTTCTAAGCCTCATGGTAACAACAACAACAAAAAAAAACCTATAGTAGGTACGCTAAAGGCAAGGAGAAATAAATCAAATCTTACCACTACAAAAACTCATCAAATCAAAAAAGAGAGAAGAAAGAAAGAAAAAAGAAAATACAAAATAATCAGAAACTAACAAAATGGCAATAATAAGTCCCTATCTCTTCATCAGTTCTTCAAATATATTAGATTAAATTATTCAACCAAAAGACATACAGTGAATGAATTGATTTTTAAAGATTCATCTATAATCTACCTATAAGTCGCTCACTTTAGATTCAAGAACAGACATAAGCAGAAAGTGAAGGGATTAAAAAATTTCATGAAAATGAAAGGAGGTGTGGCTATATTTATATCAGACAAAATACACTTCACGTCAAAATTATCACAAGACGCAAAGATGGTCATTATATAATAAAGGAGTCAATCCTCAAGAAGATGTAACAATTGTAAGTATACGTGCACCCAATGTTAGAGCACTTAAACGTATAATGCAAATATTGACAGAACTGAGGGAAGAAACAACCAGTACTACAATAATAGAAAGAGACTTCAGTACCAAACTTTCAATACACAGGTAATCCAGACAGAATACTAATAATGAAACAATGGATATAAGCAATACTATAGATGAAATGGACCTAACAGGTACATACAAAACATTTTATCCAAGAATACTAGAATATGCCTTCTTTCCCAATACGCAGGGAACATCCTCTAGGATAGACAATATGTTAGGCAACAAAACAAATCTTAACAAATTCAAGAAGATTGCAATTATAACAAGTATTTTTTTTCTGACCATGATGGTATAAAACTAGGAATTAATAACAAGAGGAAAATTGGAAAATTCACAAATATGTGTAAATTAAACAAACACTCCTGAACTATCAAAAGGTTAAAGAAGAAATCAAAAAAAGTAAAAGAATTTACAGTGATAAACTCAAATATTAAGAAGAAAGATCTTCAATAAACAACCTAACATTACACCAGAAGAAATTAGGAAAAGAATCACAAACTGAGACCAAATTCAGAAGAAGGAAGGGAATTATAAATGTCAGAGCAGAAATAAAATTAAGAAGAGTCTCAAAAATTAATAGAAATTATCCACAAAACAGTTTTTTTAAAATAAAATTGACAAACCTTTAGGTAGACCAACTAAGAAAAGAAGAGAAGACAAAAATCATCAATGAAAGAGGAGATGTTACAGCTGCCAGCAAAGAAACAAAAAGGGTATAAAAGAGCACTATGAATAATTATATTTCAACAAATAGAATAATTTAGAAGAAATGAACAAATGTCTGAAGACATACAACATATCAAGATTACCATGAAGAAATAGAAAATATGAACAAATTAAAGAGATGAGTACACTTCTAAATACATTTTATGAGGCCAGCACTACCCTTATGCCAAAGCCAGACAAAGACACTACAAGCAAATGAAATTACAGGCCAATATCTTTAGTAAACTTATATGCAAAACATTAACAACAGAAATTAAACAAGACACAAACAGATAAAGGTATATCCCATGTTCATGGATTGGAAGGCTACATAATGTTAAACTGCCTGTACTACCCAATTTTATATACAAATTTGATGCAATCTATATCAAAACACCAATGACATTTTTCACATAAATAGAAAAAACGTCTAAAATTAATTGGAACAACAAAAGATCCAAATAGCCAAAGAAATATTGAACAAAAGAACAAAGCTAGAGGCATCACATTACCTGATTTCAAAATATACTGCAAAGCCGTAGTAATCAAAACATCATAATACTGGCATAAAAACAGTTATATAGACCAATGGCAGGGAAACTAACAGATACCAAAACTAAATTCACATATTTACAGTAAATCAAATTTTGACAAAGGTGCTGGAAACATTATGGGAACAGGACAATCTATTTTATACATGATGTTGGAGAAAACTGGGTATTCACATGCAAAAGAATATAATTGGGCCCATATCACATGTCATATACAAAAATCAGTTTGAAATGAATTAAAGACATATACGTAAGACTGAGCTATAAAACTGCTAGAAAGAACCATGAAAGAAGTTTCTTGACATTGGTATGGGTAATAATTTTTTTATTATTACCCAAAAAGCACAACAACGAAGGTGACACCAAACATAAGATGGCATCAAACTAGGAAGCTTTGCATTACAAAGGAAACAATAAACAAAGAGATAACTTACAGAATGGGAGACAGTATTTGTGAACCATACATTTGATAAAGAGTCAATATCTAAAATATATAATAAACTCAATTCAATAGCAAAATAATGATAATAATCCAATTAGAAAGGGGCAAAAGACCTAAACAGGCAGTTCTTAAGAAAAGACTTCAAATGGCCAATGGATATGTGAAAATATATGCAACATCATTAATCAAAAGGGAAATGCAAAATCAAACCACAATGAACCATTAAAAATCAAACCTCATGACTATTAAAATGGCTGTTATCAAAAAAGTAAACAATAACTGCTGCTGAGGATGTGGATATAAGGAAATCCTAGTATGCACTTAGTAGAAATTTAAATTGGAGCCATCATTTTGGAAAACAATATAGTGGCTCCTCAAATTTTTACAATATAGAAAGATAATTTGGCAATCCTATTTCTGGGTGTATAATCAAAGGTAAAAAATAAAATGAATGTAGTACCATTCAGACTTAAAAAAAAATCCTGTCATCTGCAAAAATATGAATAAATATGCAATATGGCATGCTAAGTGAAATAAGCCAATCACAGAAAGACAAACAGCACGATCTCACAGGTGGTCTCTAAAATAGTCACTCATAGAAGCAGAAAGTAGAATGGCGGTTGACAGGAGCTGTGGTGGTAAGGTCCAGGGGAATGAGGAGATGTTGCTCAAAGGGTGCAAAGTTTCAGTTAAACAAGATAAATACGTTCTGAAGATCTACTGTAGAGCATGGTGACTACAGTTAATAATGTACTGTATTCTTGAAAAATGCCAACAAATATCTTAAATGTTCACAAACAAATGAAAAGTATTTCAAGTAACAGATGGTAGTAGCTTGATTTAATTATTCACATGTATACATATAACAAAACACTGTAAATATATTTAATTTTGAAATGTTAATTTAAAAATGCATATAAGTAAATATAAGAAAACAAAGTAAAAAATGTGAAATAATTGGAGAGGTAAAAACAAACTGCAAGTGTTTACAAAAGCGAGATGATATATGAAAAACATCTGAAAAGTAATCTCCAGATAAATATTACAATCATTCAGATTTTTTTGATATAGCTGCTATATATGAAAATTATGTAAAAATAGATATTTTATTTATGCAGATAATCTACTAATTAGAAAATGAACTTTTAAAAACTACCAGTTATAATTACATCAAAATATATGACATCTTTAAAGCACATGCAACCAGATATGGGAAAGATAATCACGAAACATTTTAAAAGCTATTAGAAGTTATTAAAGAATGATGAAAATATAGTTTTTAATTAATTGTGCCATTATCTGTGTAAAAAAATGTAAAATCAGGAAAGCTTTTGTACATAAAAGCAATTACAAGAAAGATACAGAGACATGGGAACCCTAATTCATTGCTAATTGAGATATCAATTGGTAAATTCAGTTTAGAAAACCTTTGACATCATCTAATAACATTTAAAATAACACATGTCCTATTATGCCACAATTTTTATTTCTGCTGTTTATAAAACTTCCCCTATGAACACCATAATGTACATACTAGAATGTTCATAAGCTGTAGATTATTATTGCCAAAACTAGAACTAACTTCAATATCCCTCACAAATATTATAGCTGATGAAATAAGTGCATATTCAATTAGACTTTATACTGCAATAAAAGGCAAATGGTAGCAGTGTGCAGGAACATGGATGCATCTTAAACTGTAATGCTGCAGGAAATAAGCTAGCCAAAATGAACTTGAAAAGTATGATTACATTAATATAAATTCAAAAGATGCAAAACGAAATTATAGTTTAGAGATGAAAACTTAGGTGATAAAATCTATGAAGAAAATCAGAACAGAAGAAAATCAGAACAAAAGGGAATCAGTCAGGAAAGTATTTATCTGAAGGCAGTGGGCAGGCCTTATAATTAAAAAAATAATAATTTAGAGATCTACCGGCTTCTAATTTCTGATCACAGGAATTAGAATATTGTTTACACAATTGCTCACTTTATTTCTACATTGCACTTAAATACTTTATATACATGTTATTCTGTATGTTACATTTAATTATTGAAAAAACATTAGTACTGAGTACATAGAAATGTAAATGATAAAATAATGGAGATCTTTGAATGTGGGAAATGGGAAACTGCAGACAACTTTTGACAAACAAGCTATTAAAACTAAGTACAGAATCTGGTCATAATTAACTGTGAGGGCAATGACTAGTTGGTGCTAGGATACAGATTTAGCAAGAGAGATAAAGGTGGAATAATCTTGGATATGTATGAGGAAAACAAGGAGCTTTAAAGAAGACAAGAACACAGATTTCAAAAAGAAAGAGATACTTAATAACAGTTAAAATATTGTATTTCAGTATTTTGAAATACAAGAGAAAGGTAGAATACTGAGGATTGGGAAGAAGAAAACACTCATATTGTTGATCAGTAGATGAATTCATTATGTTTTGTCCTTTGATATATGGTACGTTGTAACTGGTTCTTGCTCCAACTAGAGTCAAAGGGTTTAAGGAGTGTGTTGTATAAAACAGACACACAGGGGGCCGGGCACGGTGGCTCATGCCTGCAATGCCAGAACTTTGGGAGGCCGAGGCAGGCGGATCACCTGAGGTCGGGAGTTTGAGACCAGCCTGACCAACATGGAGAAACCCCGTCTCTACTAAAAATACAAAATTAGCCGAGCGTGGTCGCACATGCCTGTAATTTCAGCTATTTGGGAGGCTGAGGCAGGAGAATCGCTTGAACCCTGGAGGCAGAGGTTGCGGTGAGCCAAGATTGTGCCATTGTACTCCAGCCTGGGGAAAAAGAGTGAAACTCCCGTCTCTAAATAAATAAATAAATAACAGACACACAAGGAAAGCAATTTTTCTCAGGACAATGGAAGTTTATCTGAAGTGTTGTGTTCTCCCATCTCTAGAAGCACTGACGATATTTATTCTCTTACTGCAAGACCTGCCCAGTCCAAGCCCCCAAACCGACTTTGGATTGAGATAGGAGACTCTTAGTCTACTCCATTTACCTTTCAGCAGAACTTGGCATTATGTCACTGTTGTCATTTTAGCCAGATCCAGGAAACACCAGGAATTGATATTGTCTGAATCCAAACAGTTTGAAGAGGCCCCTCCAGAGCTAAGATCCAGAGCTCCAGGAGGATTTTCAAAGCCTGCTGCAGGTATCTCTGGAACTGGGAGGAAAGGTCTCTAAGGAGAGAAAACTTCCAAGAAGTTACTAGTAGCCTGCACCCCTGAAGAGGCATGATTGAGCAGTTGTAGAAGTATAAAAAGAAGGTGGCATTGGTGGAAGCAATATATAATAATTACAGGTATATTCTATTAAAGAAGAAAGAAAAATAGGAAAAGTTCTATGTAATTATTCACTTTTTTTTTTGACCACGTGCCAGTTAAAGTCCAGGCACTTTTGGAAGGCATCTGCAAGCTTGTTTCCTGAATCCATATTGCTATTTCTTAGAATTTAGGTGAGAATACACTTCTATCATGTAAATTCAGAGATTTGGAGATTTCTCTCTTAAAATACCTATTGCTACTCTAACATAGAATTCTGAAATCTATTGATATTTCAATATAGGAACCTGAATTATTTTTCCTATAAGGGCCAAATAGTAAATATTTTAGGTTTTGTGGGCAATATTGTGTCTGTGTCCACTACTCAACACTGCCATTGTAATACGACTAACTACAGACAATATATAAGTGAATAAGTGTGACTTGTTCCCAAAAATGTTAATTACAAAGTAGATGTTGGGCCATATTTGGCCCACAGGCTATATTTTGCTCACCCTTTCTCGAATGCAATAGACAATCCTAGTGCCTTAGCTGTATTTCATCTCCCTCATTCAGAATAAGTGCTGTTAAGATTTAAAGAAAGAAGGGTAGATGTTTTCATATGGAATGAAGGTAAAGGAAGTTACCAATATTAAATCAATCAAGTTAAATGTGTAGATCCAGAAGAAAGGACAAAATATGGATGGCAGGTATACAGAAAAGAGGAAGAGTAGGTTTAATTGATGAAGCAGGACCTGGAAGGGGTTACGAAGCCAACATATGTAAAAACTGTAACTTTGGAAAAGAATGAGACATTTCTTGCTGGAAACAGAGAAATGGTATGAAAGGTGGCTAAATAAATGAAAGTCTTACATACGATGAAAAAGATATCATCAGTGAAGAGTGGAAGCACAAGCAGATCTCACTGGATACCCAAAGATAGTACTGTAGTTAGAAGGAAAGAATTTTAAGACATTTTACAAAATTTTATAATATTTAAATTTTAAATTGAGATAAAATTCATATAACATCAATTTAACCATTAACCTTTTTAAAGTGTACAATTCAGTGGTATTAAGTCCATTTACAATGTTGTGCAACCATCTCCCCTATTTAGTTCTAAGGTGTTTACATCATTCTAAAAGAAATCCCATACTCATTAGGCAATCAATCCCATCCCCCTTCTCCAAGCCCCAATAACCACTAGTCTGCTTTCAGTCTCCATGTATTTATCTATTCTAGAAGCTGCATATGAATGGAATTATATAATACATGATTGTTGTATCTGGCTTTTTTCACTTAGATAATGCTTTTGAGGTTCCCCTAGTTACAGCATATATAACTACTTTATTCATTTTTAATGACTGAATAATATTTGTATGAATCCATTCTATTTCATTTATTTATTATCTTCTGATGAACACTTGTTATGTTTCCACCTTTTGGCTACTGTGAATACTGCTGCAATGAACATTCATGCACAAGTATTTGTTTGCATGGTCGTTTTTAATTCTTTTGAGAATATACCTAAGAGTGAAATCACTGGCTCATATAATAATTTTATGTTCAGCTTTTTGAGACACCAACAAACTACTTTCCATAGCAGCTGTATTTTGCATTTTCACCAGCAATGTTTGAGGATTCCAATTTCAGCACATTTTCATCAACTGCAGAAAAGAAGAAAATATTTGCGAATCAAAGATCTCATAAAAATCTACTATCCAGAATATATAAGAACTCTTAAAACTTGACAACCAAAGACAAAGAACCAAATTTTTTAAACGGGAATAAAATCTTGGATAGCTGTTTCTCCAAAGAGATGTACAAATGGCTAAAAGTTGCTCAACATCATTAGTCACTGGGGAAATACAAATCAAAATCTCAGTAAGATACCACTTCACACACACTAATATGGCAACAATAATAATGACAACAATAAAAAGAGAATATAATGTATTTTTTAAATGATCCACCGTAGAGTCAATGGAAGGACAGAACATTCATTTTGCTGCTTAAGTTCTGAAAAAATCTGAGATGGTTTAAATGCTGAAGTTAAGATTGAAGGAATGGGAGTATTTTATACAAATATTGGATATAGATATTGCAATAATTAGGCTGTTGGGGATGACTATGGGTGTTAGAATTTAAAATCTTTGAATCAAAGAATAGTTCAGGGTGATGTGATCAAAGTGTTATTTGCCCATGTAAGTGAGTGAAACCTAATATACATAAAATTCATTGAAATTTGGGAATTAAAAATGATAATTTTAACATCCCCTATCATAGAAGAGCTAATCGCCTTCCATGATCACGCCCTTATAATCATTTTTCTAATCAGCTTCCTGGTTCTATATGTTCTCTTTCTAACACTTACAACAAAACTGGCTAACACTAGCATCACAGACGCCCAAGAAATGGAAACTGTTAGAAGAAAAATAAAAAATCAATAGGAAATCAGTAGTCATTGACATATATGGCAATACACATCTAATTACAAAGAAAATGAACAAGATATTGATGTAATCCTGGGCATAAATAGAGGTAATGAAAATAGAAAGTCATGCTAAAGTGCCATTACATCTCATGAAGTAATTTAATCGGTAGTGTCAGATCAATAATTTGCAAATGAAAGTGAATTAATAACATGCTGATCCATAACACCATGTTTATGAATTAGGGGAGTGGGAAGCACACTGTCCATGACTGAAAGAGAAGCTATCACCAGAGAAGAACACAGGATCAAAGAAATAATCGCAAATGTTCAAGACCAAAAATTTTGTTCAGTATGAGAATGCAGACTTCCTAGGGCAAAATAGAAAGGGTAGAAGAGTGACTACCAAGAATTGATTGGTTAGACAGGAGAATCAACAAATAAATTCTGAGGTTTTTGGTTTTGTTAAAAGATAGACAGAAGTAAATGTGCTGCAAAAGGTGTTTTCAGACATCATTTAAAAATGTAGGTAAAATTAAGTTGGATTTTCTAGCACCATTGTAACAGGTGATGTCTCTGTACTTCCTGCAGTGTGACACTTCCAATACCTCAAATTCCTTTTACACCTGTTACTTTGTGTTACTTTTACAACTTCCTAGTGATATAGGCAGTTTAGTGTTTTAGCCTCATGTTATCTAATATATAACATAAAGTAAACTCAAAGTGGCAAAGTAATTTGAAACCTAGGAATCAAAACTGAATGCCCCAATTTGGACTTCATATTTTCTACATCAACAATATTTTCTCAGGTATTAATTTTGCTGGAAATTATGAAATATGTTTTCTGCAAAGTTTATTTGATTTCATTGCAGTAATCCTCTATGAATAGGTCTTACCTAAAAGTTTATAAAGCTTATTTGAGTTAATAATACAAACTTAATTGGAATTGATAGCTTATACAAATGGAAATCTCTGTGGTTGAAAAAATAAATAATTTATCTCCTGAAATACAAACGCTTATGTATTGATTTCGAAATAAAATGAAACAAAAACCCAAGGACAGAAGGGCAGTAGATGTTTTCCTCTAGGAAAAAAATGCAGCTGATTTTACATTGTGGGTCCCATGAAAAAGATTGTGTCACAGTTAGTGACATATCAGTACAAGTAACATCCTAGAATCACAGGACTGTTATGAAATGCCAAGTATGGTAACTGGCTAAAATGAGAAAAACCCTTTTTATTCAGATGTGTGTTTCACAAGTATTATTTTACTTTGAGCATGATCTTTATTGAATAACATTTAGTGTTTTACAGTTTTCTAACAGGAACAGGAACAGGACATCACAAAAATTTGTTTGCATTTTGGTAATCACATATAACCAGAACTAGAGTACCACTGAATCAAACACATTTGCAACTGAGAAAAATGGCTTTTAATTGAAGTGAATCAGAGTGAATCAGAAATACTAACGAAACAGGAAAAAATAGAAATCTAAATAGATATTTGCATTAAAATATCTTAATTATTACTGAAATTTGTGCAGAGATAATACTGTATTTGCTTTAAAACAGTATGAAAAAATATGGCTTTGCGAGTCATTTGGTTTGTGATATAATGAACCAAATTGCTTGCTGAAAATTTGGATAAATTCCAGCGCAACAGCCACTATTCAAATTGATAGTGACAGCTCATTCTGAGGGAAAAATGTTATTTTCAAATGATTGATATGAACTCAAAAGGGTGTGAAGAACTATAGTGTACTTTGTACATAGGAGTTGTGACAGGTTGGCACATGTCTAATTCTGATTTAAAACAAGCCAAGGCCCTGCAGTTTCCAATGCCATTAAGCTTATATACCACATGAAATTATTTGATTCACTGGAATATTCCACAAAGCAAAATGTGCCAAAATTTCAAAATTAAAAGTCTGATTTTTATATTAGACTGGCATGTCATCTACTGAAATAAATTCGAAAAATTTCTTCCAGTAATAGGAGGAAAATATTCATACATATTAATCAAACTTAATTAACACTTAATAAATGCTGCTCTCTAATTGTGAAATTTAAAAGTGTACCAGGTGAAAGAAAATAGAGCCCCTGCCATAAAAGGAAGGCATTAAAACTTGACATTGATAAAATGAGGTCATTACTCTTTGGATGAAAAATAGGGCTAAATGCAGATTAATGGCAAAATTCTTCAATTCCGCTCTTTTAGATTTTACTGATTTGGCATGTATACATTTTAATTTCTTAATTGTATTCCCAAAAAGACCAATTAGTGTTTTTCTGATACACAAGCAATCAAAGGATAATATCTGTAGAAAAATTTGGGTTTTTTTTTTTTAATTCTATTTTTTCAAGGATTCCATTGTCACAAAGCAAAATCACCTTACTGAAACCCATGCTAGAAGTGACTTTTCTCATAGTTGTGACTTCCTAAAAAGCTTAAGGTTGTTGTGTATTTAGCAAGATGTTTTAAGCATTGTCGGTCCCTTTTTCCTAATTTATATGTGGTATTTATCATGGACTGCTGTTTTAGTTCAGGCTAGCCTGCTATAGTATAACCCCACAGACTGAGTGGCTTACAAAAAAACAGAAGTTTATTTCTCACAGTTCTGGAGGCTGGAAAGTGTAAGGTCACGGCTCAGGCAGATTCGGTGTAAGGTCACGGCTCAGGCAGATTGGGTCTGGTGAGGACCCAATTCCTCACAGATGGCCTTCTTCTCACTCTGTTCTCACATGGACGAAGGGGCACAGGATCTCTCTGGGGTCTCTGTAATCAGGGCAATAATGTCATTTATTAGAACTCCACCTTCAGGACCTAATCACCTCTCAGAGGCCCCACCTCTTAAAAACCTTGAGGGTTAGGATTTCAACATATAAATTTTGAGGACATATAAACATTCAGTCCATTGCAACTGCTATAAACAATGTTGGCCAGAAATCAAAAGGGAACATAGATCAAGGAAATAGCTATGTATGTATGCTTTTGCATATTATTCTCTTATGTTTCAATGAAAGGGACAGGAATCAAATGCAAAGTGTTCAGAGTCTAACTGAGAAGGTCAAGCTATAAGTAGCTTTAGGTAAGGCTTGAGAAAAGCAGTCAGAAATATTTTCAGGAATATACCTGTCTGTATTTTGGCTCCATGCTCTTATGGGCAGACTCCGTTCTCTTGAAGGATGTTTCTATATGGTGGAACAAATAAACACCAGAAGGTTTAGGCTAAAATGTATCTTTACTCTTAACAATCTTTAAAAGAAAATGTCATCTTTCTGTGTCCTTTCAATTCAGTAAAACAAATCTGACTGTCCCAGTTTGTGTCATATGCCCTTTTCTCAACCAAAAACCATGCCCACAGGGCTGGCAGATACTGGTTGACCTGGCTCATAATTCTACCGCTGTGTTTCTTATGCTGAAGGCCTCACTTGACCACATCAAGTGAGGGAGGAACTATCCCCAAAATAAACATAGATTCTGTTACTAGAATTAAAAAAAAGTGATGTTAGACATTTTGAAAGAAACCATGAAATAGACAAATTATTTCCCTGATGAATCTCTTTAATATTATTGTCTTCAATACTGTGAAATTCCCATTTTAAAAATTTTACATTTATGTTTATACAAATATCATCATCTCCAAATGTTGCCAGGTGGCAAGTTGCTTATCATGTAACTTAAGAAGGAAAAGCCTATTGTGGTACAAAAACAGATACACAGACCAATGGAAGAGAAGAGAGCCCAGACACAAGCCTGCACACCTACAACTGTCTGATTTTCAACAAACTGACAAAAACAAGCAATGGGAAAAGGACACTCTATTCAACAAATAGCGCTGGGATAACTGGCTAGCCATATGAAGAAGATTGAAACTGGATCCTTTCCTTACACCAGATACAAAAATTAACTCAAGATGGAAGAAAGACTTAAATGTAAAATCCACAATTATAAAAACACTGGAAGACAACCTAGGCAATACCATTCTGGACTTAGGAATAGCAAAGATTTCATGACAAAGACACAAAAAGCAACTGCAGCAAAAGCAAAAATTGAGAAACGGGATTTAATTAAAGAGTTTCTGCCCTCTTTGTGCAGAAACAAACAGAATGTTCAAAAGAACTTAAACAAAGTTACAAGAAAAAACAAATTACCCCATTAAAAAGTGAACAAAGAACATGAACAGACATTTTACAAAGGAAGACATACATGCCACCAACAAGCATATATAAAAAGCTCAACATCACTGATTATTAGAGAAATGCAAATCAAAACCACAATCAGATACCATCTCACAGCAGTTAGAATGACTATTACTAAAAAGTCAAAAAATAACAGATGCCGGTGAGGTTGTGGAGAAAAAAGAACGGTTATACACTGTTGGTGGGATTATAAATTAGTTTAACCATTATGAGAAACAGTGTGGCGATTACTTCAAAGACCTAACCTAAAACAGAAACACCATTTGACTCAGAATTCCCATTACTGGGTACATCCCCAAAGGAATGTAAATCATTCTATCATAAAGAAATGCAGGCATACGTTCATTGCAGCACCATTTACAATAGCAAAGACATGGAATCAACCTAAATGCTTATCAAAGGAAAACTGGAAAAAGAAAATGTGGTACATATACACCATGGAATACTATGCAGCCATAAAAAACAACAAGTTCATGTCCTTTGCAGGAACATGGATGGAGCTGGAGGTCGTTATCCTTAACAAACTAATGCAGGAACAGAAAACCAAATACTGCATCTTCTCACTTATAAGTGGGAGCTAAACGATGAGAACTTATGGACAAATAAAAGAAAAAAAAAGACACTGAGGCCTCCCACTGGAGGGTGGGAGGAGGGAGAGGATTAGAAAAAGGGGGGGGGGTACTAGGCTTAATATCTGGCTGTCAAAATAGTCTGTACAACAGAACCCCATGACACAAGTTTAACTACGTAACAAAAATGCATATGTACCCATGAACTTAAAATAAAAGTTAAACTAAAAAAAGAAATTCACTCATTAAACAAGAGGTGAGTTTTTCACTAAAAGTAAAATCATATTTATGCCTTAGTATACCCGAGCAGGTGTGCTTGGTTGTGTTTTACTTTTTGAAATATACAGCAGAACTTTCATTTGTCAAAGTGCAGGGTTGTTTACTTTAACTGGGAGTATTAGAACTGGGAAATTGAGAGGAACAGCTTCGATGGAGTTCTTCATTAAGAAAAATGATAAATTGCTAAAACTTAAAAGGTGTTTCAAATGGATCAAATCTGTAAGGATAAATGTCTAGAGTTGACAGATTTAGTTTAAAACCAAATGATTTAAGATGCATAAATTCATTATTTTTATTTTTTATCTGTGTACATTATTCTACTTTGTGGATTGCTTGAAGTCATTCATTTCAAAATGTGCCTGGAACAATCACATAAGTCACATAGTCTAAAAAGGCCATCAAATTACCCATTCTTCCACATATATACACATAACACTGAATTTTCTCATCACCGCATAATTCTAATTACAATAAACATCAACCCTAGTTTATGCTTGCAAGCTCAGTGGTCAGGAGTAATTATCACTTTAAATCCAATAATCTTTTTTTCCTTTTTCTTTTTTTATTTTTGGTGTTCACTAAGAAACCTTAATCAATATAATCTGAGGTCTTAGGTACATAAAAGAAGCCAAGGAATATGGCACAGAGAAAAAACCAGCAGAGCATGTAAAGGCTGAGCCAGAAATAGAAATACTCAACTTGAACTTTAAAAAGCAAACTTGATAGATGGTGAGTTATATTTGCTCTACGAAGGCTTAAGCTGTGTAACCAGTACAAATGCACCAGCAAGTTAAAATTCCATTGACCTTGGCAATGTCAGAAGGGAAATATATTCATGGAGATCAGCTCTACTGAAATTAATCTCATGTGTTGATAAAATCAAAGTGATGCTTCCTTCTCAAAATGACATATTTGGCTTCTTTTACCTACTGCATGCTTGGGGCAGAAAAACTAGTCACTGTGGCATTGTGGTCTTTAAAAAAAAATCTAATTTACTATTTGTCACAGTAAGTCAATCATGGGGTATCAGTGCTGTGAGGCGGTTTAGAAATCTATGTTCCTTTCAGTCTCTCGTTCAGAGTCTACAAAAGTCACCTTTAAGAATTTAGTGACCTTTTACACTGAATTTTGAAAAAAAAATTCATTCTTTTAAACATGTATAGATATGAAACTTCAATTTCTACTCTAAGATTGACCAATATCTTTATTAGTATTTTAATGTTGTTTATTAAGATTTAAGAGCATGATTCTGGACAGTCAAAAGAGATGCAAAAACATACATTCTAGGTGTATATGTTTAAAGTTTTCATTTTAGGACAGTTGTAGATTGAGAGAGAATTTGTGATGATAGTACAGAGAATTTCCATATAACCTACACTAAGATTCTTGTATTATTGACATATTACATTAATATGGTGTATTCACTACAACTAATGAACTGATGGGATACATTATTTGTAACTAAAGTCTATGTCTTATTCAGAATGTCTTCATGTTTACTTGCTGTACTTTTTCTGTCAAAGTTCCCGTTCAGCAAACCACATTACGTTTAGTGGTCGTGTAGCTTAAGCTTCCCTTGACAGTGACAGATTCTCAGACTTTTCATGATTTTCATTTCTTTCAAAGTGTGAAAAGTACTGGTCAGCTTTTTTCTAGAATGCCACTCAATTGGATTTTTCTGATACATTGGGTTATGCGTGTTTGGGAGGAAGATCATATTGGTGAACTGCCATTCTCACAATGTATGAAAAGATGTTCCCTTTCTTGAGTAATAAGAAAAATGGAAGTAAAAATCACAATTGCTATATTGAATATCTACCAAAATGTAAAATTGAGAGACAGACAATATAGTTAAGGTGAATGTGGAGTAACTAGATGGAGCACACATACCTTGCTGTTAAGAGGATAATTTGGTGCAACCAATTTGAAAAATTATTTGACAGAATCTGTTAAAGTTCAAAGTTGCAATATGACGGCTACATAAGTACTTAATGGAAATATATACATATTTTCCCCAAAAGAAATATAAAAATAGGCCGGGTGCAGTGGCTCACGCCTGTAATCCCAACACATTGGGAGGCCAAGGAGGGAGGATCACCTGAGGTCAGGAGTTCGAGATCAGCCTGGTCAACATGGTCAACATGGTGAATCTAATAAAAATTATTAGATTCTATAATTTTTATTATAGAATCTCTATAATAAAATACAAAATTTTATTATGTTTTATTATTTATGCCTGTCTCTAATAAAAATACAAAATTAGCTTGGCGTGGTGGTGCACACCTGCAATCCCAGCTACTCGGGAGGCTGAGACAGGAAAATCACTTGAATCTGGGAGGCAGAGGTTGCAGTAAGCCTGCAAGTTTCTTGTATCAATTCGAACCCCGAGAGTGCGCCAACAAACAACACGAGGCAATGTGGAGCAACACGCTGTTTTCATGAGCGCCTGGGTGCAGGCGCGCTGGGGTCTAAAAGGGCATCAGCCCCAAGTGAGGACGGGACATGGGTTTCATAGTCCACTGTAAACAGGAAGTGTCCCAGTCTGACGTGACTGCTACGTAGTACCCGGACAGCCTCCCTCTGGATCTTCAGGGGGTATGTATCTTCCTGCTTCTGCTATCCAGCTCTTCCTGCTTCTGCTATCTTGCTGACTCACTCTGCTGGCACAAGTGGTCTTGCGCCTTGGGACTGGTCCTGAGGAGGGGGCAGTTATCCATTCCCTTAAGCTTTCAGGCCCCGGGGAGAATCTTTCAGAGCCGAGATCGCGTCCAGCACTCCAGCCTGAATGACAGAATGAGACCGTCTCAAAACAAAAAGACATATAAATATAATGCAGAACAATAGCATTCCAAACAGTATAAACATGAAACTACCCAAATAGTATTCTACATAAGAATGAATGGTATATTGTTTGGAATGCCTAGCTGCTCATTTGCACTAATCATATTTTAAGTACTAAGTACCCGTATGTGAATAATGGCTACTGTTATATTACAGCATCAATATAGCAGGTCAGATATAGAAGTACTCCAATTCTGCAGAAAGTTCCATTGTGAACATTGAGAATGAATTATTTGAAACTATATATAAGATAATATGGATGAAACTGAAAATCACCATGTTGAATAAGAGAAGTAGAAATAAGAGTATATGCTGTATAAGTTTATTTATATAAAATCCAGAACCTGGTAAAATGTGTCTATGGTGCTAGAAGTCAGTCGGATTCTCCTTAGAGGGTTTAGTGTCCTAAAAAGGCAAAGCAGTTAACTGTGGTCCTGTTTATGTTTTCTTTTTAAAAATCTAAATGCTAGTTACATGGAAACATTCAGTTGGTGAAAATTCATTGAAGACAACACCTATGATTTGTGTGCCTCTCTGCATGGTTTATGATACTTCAATATCACGTTTACAAATAGAAAAAAATATGTCACACTAGCAAGGATTACTACTTATGCCTCAAAGCAGTTGGATATGGAAGTATTTCAGCATGCACAACAAAAAGACAAACAATAACAGCAACAACTAAATCAGAGCTCTGAGTCAGTGATTCACAGTAGTTGCTCAATAATCAGCAATCCACAGCACTTGAGATGGTATACATTTTAATTTTATGGAGAGAGGTTGCCAGTGCCTTCCACATCAGGTTCCATTCACATACCTGCTTCCATCATTCCTCTCTGCTGTGGTCCTGTAACGTAGTATCCTGTATGTGTTAGAGTCAGTCATTATGCTTTTCAGACTTTATTCACAGCTTTTATTCCTGCCTGCCATAAGAAAAGCATTCAAATCATGCAAATATATCTTTAATAAGGTTACAAATACTCTTCTAAATAGTAAGTATTTCAAATTCAGAAATTTCATTCATCTTTTATTATAAATATACTGTGCCGATAAGTATGCATAGTTAAGTATTTAGTAAGTATTACTAAATATATCACCATTGATGGTCTTAGGATATGCCAATTTTTATTATATCTGTTTTAGTTAAACTTCCTTTGGCCCTGACTCTGAAACTTAAATACCCTAAAATGTATCCTCTGATTTGCTTTGCTTTGTTTCCTTATTTGCAATACACATGTAAATACCAGTCTTTATTTATACAAATTAAAAAACTCATTCATTACCATGATCGAAAATAGATATCAAAGATATTGATTAAGTAGACATTAAAGCCAAAGGAAGAGGATGTAAGAAATAAGATTAAGTCAGATATAAGAAAAGTACAAAAAGGCATTTTGAAATTCTAGAATAATTGTTATAGGGAAGCAATACAGATATTTTACTATAAAGTTTTCATCTCTCAATTTGTGAAGCATAAGCAAGTCCATGATTCAAAGCAACTGTAGGAAACTAAAACAAACAAGTAAACAAAAACATGTGTTAAGATTTACTAAACAACCATAGAGAACCTACAGGCTGGACATGTATTCCATGGCTGGCTGGCCACAGAAATATTCATTTACACGTATAAGTAATAAATACACATAAGAGTTTTGACAAATGATCCGGGAGGGAGAGCTACATCAGTGCAATGAACCCCAAACCCCCACTTATTAACTCCAATAAAAGAAGGTTAAAAATGCAAGGTTACATATTTTTAAACAACTATTAGGTAAACTCTAAGAATAATAATGACAATGACTATCTAGAATGACATGATATTTTCTAGTACATGGGGCCTAAGTGAACTCTGCATTTAATGTATAGTCAGCTAAGAGTCCAAAACATATTTTGGTGATATCTTTAGGTAAAGAAATGAAATTTATAATTATCAATTCAGATTATATTCTCTTAAAAGTTAGATACTGTAATCTTCTTTTAGTGACTCCAATAAGACTGCTAGATCATCCTAAGATATTTTTTCTTCTACAGCAATACATTTATAACAGAATTCTTAATAGAATAAATATCCTTGGCATCTGTGGAGAATTAACTAGTTTGATAACATGAGTTTAATAGTTACTGGTTGGTAAACTTAGGCATGTTTCTTCACCACTGAATGTGTTAGTTTTCTCATCTATAAAATGGGGAGAATAATAAGCAGCTCTTTAAAAGTTTATATTGTACAATTAAATAGATATTTGTAATGAAAAGAGAATTAACCAACACCCTAATGTGTAGGGTTCCTGTTTCTTTTGTAGCTAGATTAACACAATCTGCATTTAATATTACAACTATGGTGAATACTAATGATTGAAATTCTAGCAGTTAAGCTCCAGAATCTAAACTTTGCAAATAAGCTCTTCTTCTGAGAGTTTAATATGTTATCTTTAATAAGTATGGATTTATTCTATATACATCAAGTATCTTACTGTAAAAAATACGATTATTAATATAGTATTTATACTGACTGTAATCTCTAAGTTGCTTTTGTGAATATAGTCGTGCTATCAGTCTGTTTATTATCATTTGTTTCACATAAAATTATAAAGCATGAAATAAATTCCAGTTGTTTGGCTTCTCAATATAAGTTATTTCTCAGTAGACGCTATTAACAAACAGAAGACTAAACACCATATTTTAAATTACATTTCAGAATACTCACTGGAGGTAAAGTAATTTCTGTTGCTTGCCAAATGTAAATTTACAATTCATGCAGTGAGTTGATAGAACTAGAGCTAGTTTCGTGAATGTCAAACTGTCAGTGGAACAGTTTTAAAATTTACAGCCTATAAAAGAACTCACAGACCTATTAACAAATTGAGTGCAGTTATTTCAGACAGAATCCTAACCAGTTCAATGAATTTCTGTCTAACTCAGTGGAATGATGGCTTTCATTTTAGTGCTTTTGTTATTCTTTTTAGTTCATGTCACGAAAGTGTTTTTTTTTTTTGACATTACAAACTATTTGTGTAAAGAGTAATATTAAAGATTTGAGTTGAGTATACTGATGTATTTGCCATCACATTCCATTTCTGGTAAGACTGTTAGTTAATCGAAATGAATGAAAAAAAATTTTCTCAATGTAGCCCATTCAGAAAAGATGGATATTATAATAATTTCAATATTTATTTCACGTCTTGTCCCAGCTAAAACAGAATCCAAATCCTGATGTTTAGTTTCCTCGAAATCATATAAATATCTACATTAGTTTTAATATAATGGAAGGAATGCAAACTTTCTTTTTGCAAATAAATAAGTGTTCGTAAGTCTACCTGCTGCCAAGGACTAAAAAGAAGAGTGGTTCTAGTTTTCCCTTGAGTTTACCTTTAATATTATAACTGGGGAATCATAAATATCTCACTCAAATAGATTAATAGGTGTGTAAGCATTCAGTGCAAATATAAAACTTTAAGTTTTCCCAAGTTCTACAAAACAGAAAGTATAGGAATGTCACAAAGATTTATCAGACAGCTTGAGTTCATCCTCACTTATTTCTTTGATTAAGAAAGAAATCATGGCCGGGTGCGGTGGCTCACGCCTATAATCACAGCACTTTGGGAAGCCAAGGCGGGCAGATCACGAGGTCAAGAGATTGAGACCATCCTGCCCAACATGGTGAAACTCCGTCTCTACTAAAAATACAAAAATTAGCTGGGCGTGGTGGTGCACACTTGTAGTCCCAGCTACTCGGGAAGCTGAGGCAGGAGAATCGCTTGAAGCCAGTAGGCAGAGGTTGCAGTGAGCTGAGATCGTGCCACTGCACTCCAGTCTGGCAAAAGAGTGAGACACCATCTAAAAAAAAAAAAAAAAAAAAAGATAAAAAGAAATCATGAGAACCTACTACTTCCTACTACTTATAACGTGACATTTCAGTCATTTAGTGTTTCAAAGATTAATGAAATATTAATCTTCCTCAGACAGCTTAGAAGCACAAGAGGATGGTAGATAGGTAAGTCACTGACCAGCACATTCAAATCTCTATTTTTGAGTTTCTGAAGAGAATATTTGTTTTAAGACATTTCCTCTTTGATGTGCTAGTGAAAATGAATTCAACTCAAAAACTGAGCTCATCATTTCCTCTTTTTGATCCCTGACTCAAACCCACTTCACCCCTGCTTTCTCTAACTTTAAACATGGCACCAGTGCTCACCCAATTATAAATATATATATTTAAGGATGAGTCCAGCTCTTCACTTTTTCCCTCAGTAACCTTGGCCAACCATTTACTGAATACTATCAATTTCACTCTCAAGTATTTTTCAAATTTCTTTTCACCTATGGATTCCTGCCATTAACAATTTACTTTCAGCAGATCTTCATCTTGAATCTCCAGGATTACTACAAATATTTCATAAGTAATCTCTCTGCTCAATGTATCTTCCACCTTTACATGAATTTTTCATACTGCTAAGAGAGCGATCAAGCAAAAACACATATCAAATCATAGAAAAAAACATTTTAGTAGACAATCCATGACCTAATTCTTTCTATTTCTCAAGTCCAATCTTTCATCATCCTTTTATTTGCACTTCAAACTTATGTGATTCTAAAACCTCTTGTTTCTCCCAAACCTCTAGAATATATAATGATACAGTGACATTGGACATCCTGGTTACTTTGTATAATGTTCCCCCTAGTTAGTGGCATCTAATGAATGTTCATTCAATAATATTATTCAAGTGGTTTGTGTGTGTGTGTGCGTGTGTGTGTGTGCGCGTATAAAATTTACCTCGATCTTTCCATAGAGATAATTTATATCTCTTTAGTATAGTTTTTTCTATCTTATACACACTTTACATTGTTTATGTGTGGTCTCAAATTTACTGATACTATATTCAGATATAAAGTTAACTCATTTTATTCCTTCCTTGTTTTATTTCCTTTTAAGTCATTCTTCTCCATTAAAAATCCTCACTGTGATGAGAGAGATGGGGATTTGTTAAAATCCAGAAAAGTCATTCTAATTTAATAATTTTTATATACCCATAAGTAATGCAGTTTCTATTAGATAAAATGTTCTTTTAAAAGAGAATTTTCCATACGTACTTTATTGCTGATCTCCAAGATATGAAGTGGATTCACAGCGGACTCATGTGAATTATTTGACCTTATGGGGGTCAAGTAAAAGTGATATCCTCAGTAGCCTCTGATTAGAAATCACTCGTCCAGATTTTGTTCTTAGTTGATACCTGCTTATATCACCCCATGCTGTCATTGGTGGCTTATCTCATGCCAATGCCCAAACTTTTTTTATATTAGTCTTATTTTTGTATTAATTGTGCATATTTATGGCATCTCCTGGAATGTGACAGCTCTACATCAGCTCTTGTTACTGCAGATGCCCTCGGGTCTATCTACATAGTCTTCACCTGCCATTTTTTGGTCTGCTGTGATTCCCATATAACCATGAACCAGGAAGTTCACTTTGTACCTTTGGCCAACAGAGATCCCATATTAAGACTCCCATATTATATTATGGGGGACTGTATTATCCACTCCTATATTAACGCTATTCATATACAATAAAAACAGAGAAAAACTTTGAATATTTAAAGTGAGGACTTCCTTCTGTATAGCCACACTCAATAAGGTCATACTGTGGTTTCAACAATGAGGTGCTGTGAGATGGAGAGTACTAAACAATAAGAAAGATGGGATCTTTCTTCCTTACGCATTTTTCTTAAATATTCCAATATTATCTCACACCTCAAATATTACCCAGCCCTCCAATATTATTCCACTCTTGCATCGACAGAGGGGTATTCTGGCCATAGGTTTTATTATATGCAATGTTATTTATCACTTTTTATTTTTACAATGTTATATGTGACAGAAAGGAAAATTTCTTTCACAGCCTTTCTTGCTTAATTGAGACCTCCACTACGTAAACACTAAAATGACCAAGAAGACCAATCAGGCGCTAATGCAATTAATAAACTGTGCTTCCTTTTAAAAAATGCTTAGATTGCAAGTCCATAATCCCGTGGCTAACAATTACATTCAATCAATAAATTGCTAATTCTACAGGATGAACACACCTTCATTGAAGCTCGGAAGCTTCAATGGCATCAGTTGGATGCCCCAGGGCAACAACATTTACATGCCATAAAATATCTGAAAATGATTTAACACCATCACTAGTCAACAAAATCAAACATTTGCCTGAACATGTGACCAAATTTTTTTCTGATATGATATACATATACATACATACACACACACATACATATAAAACAAACACACACACACACATATATATATAACATTCATATATATTAAAAGGTCTTTTTTTATATAATCTGTTATAGGATGTTCTTTCAATTTATTTATTTTGAACAACAAAATACCGTTCAGAGAAGACATGAATAGAATTAAAACTCTTGATGAGAATATAACCTTATTATTTGTCATTAGATACCACCAGAAATGCATGCAATACATAAGATACACTTTTAAAATATCACTTTATTTATGTTGTATTTAAGCCCTTATTCCAAATAGAAATATATTTTAAATATTCATGCTTTTGCACTAGATATTTAATATCTTAAAATTTCCCACCAAATTCTGATTTTGAAAATATTTAAACTGGGAAAAGATAAATGAAGATTGAAATGGGCTTTTATATACACATCACCCAAATATTTACCATTTGCTGACAAGTTTTCATATTGTAGACATCATGACACTTAATGTCTCATTAGACATTAATGTTTATTTTGTCTCATTTAATCTGGAAAGTTAGCCACACTTTATTTTTTATAATGACCCTATTGCTTTTTTTTAAGAATGCACACCAATGATTTCACAGAATAAGCCACATTTTAATTTTTATATTTTATTTATGAAACTATTTAGAATATTTTTACTAAGAATATATAGAGATTATGGTGTGTTTTCTTTATTGCATCAGATCAGAGTCATATAATGTCATTTGTTTAAAAAGTTTTTATTTTGTCTTCATTTTTTCCCCAAGTTCTTATTGTGTAAGAATACACATAACATAAAATTTACTGTCTTTACCATTATTAAATATACAGTTCAGTGGTATTAAGTATCTTAATATTGTGCAACTATCACCATGATTAATCTCCATAACTCTTTCCATCTTGCAAAACTGAAACTCTCTGCACATTAAATAATAATTCCTCATTAACCCATTACCCCATTACCCCAGTGCCTAGGCCCTGGCAACCACAGTTCTACCTTATGTCTTTATAATGTTGACTACACTAAATACTTCATATGAGTGAAATCATCCAGTATATATCTTTTCTGTGACTTGCTTATTTCACTTAGCATAATGTACTCAAGTTTCATTAATGTGGTAGCATATGTCAGAATTTCTTTCGTTTTTAAGCCTAAATGATATACCATTGTATGTATATTCCATTTTTCAATTCAATCATTCATTAGAGTTTTCTCCACATTTTAGTAACTGTGAATGATGCTATGAACATGGTATACAAATGTCACTATGAAATATTACTTTCAAATATTTTCAGTATATAACCAGGAGAGGAATTGTTGGATTATATGGCTAGTATGTTTTAATTTTTTTGAGGAACTGTCATACTGCTTTCTGCAGTGGCTGTACCATTTTACATTCTCAATGTACACAAAACTTCTAATTTCTCCACATACTTACCAACACTTGTTGTTTTCCATTTTTTGATAGTAGTCCATAGTGTAATATGGACTATGGTGTTAATTTAGTGTTGAACTTCATTCTTTTGCATGTATGACAGTTTTCCCAGAACTTGGCACTCTTGTTAAAAATAATTTGACTACATATGTGAAGGTTTATTTCTGGAATCTCTGTTCTATTTTATTAGTCTATGTGCCTGTATTTATGAAAGCACCATGCTGTTTTGATTACCATAGCTTTGTAGCAAATTTTGAGTCAGGAAGTTGTGTCCTCCAGGTCTGTTCTCCTTTTTCAGTAAAGTTTTGCTATTTGTGGTTCCTTGAGGCTTTAACTTCCCTGATGGTGTTCTTTGAAGCACAAAAGGTTCTAATTTTGATGAAGTTCAATTTGTCAATATTTTCTTATTTACTTATTTATTGTCCTTCTGCTGTTACAGCTAAGAAACCACTGCCTAATTCCAGGTCATAAAAGTTTATCTCTGTTTTCTCATAAGATTTATATAGTTTTAACACTCAGATTTAGGTCTTTGAATCATATTGAGTTAATTTTTTATAGATTGTGAAGCAGAGGTTCAAATTTGTTCTTTTGATAATGAATTATTAAGCTGCCCTAGCACCATTTGTTGGAAAGACAATTATTTTCCCATTAAATCATTTGACACTCATGTCAAAAATAAATTGATCATAGATGTTGAATTTATATTCCACTTTATCTATCTATCTATCTATCTATCTATCTATCTATCTATCTATCTATCTATCTACATATGCCATCACCACACTCTTTTGATAATTGTTGCTTTGTGGTGAGTTTTAAAATTGGGAACTATGAGACCTTTAAGTTTGTTCTTTTTTTTCAGTATTGTTTTGTCTATTCTGGGTCCTTTGAATTTTCATATACATTTTAGAATACATATGTTCTTTTTTGCAAAAAGAAAAATCAGTTGAAAATTTCTAATGGTCACATTGAATTTGTAGAGCAATTTGAGGGTATTGCCATCTTAACAACATTGAAACATACATTTCAAGAACAAGAAGTATCTTTCTATTTATTTAGGTCCTCTTTAATTTTTTTCTGAGACTATATTATCATATTTGGTGAACAAATCTTGCACTTCTTTGGTTAAACTATTTCCTAGTATTGATTGTTTTTGATGCTATTGTAATGAAATTAAATTTCATTTAAATAATTTTAATTTTCAGTGAAGTTTTATTTTCATTGCTTATGTATAGAAATACAACTGATTTTTATATTGATTTTTTATCTTGAAGTTTTGCTCAACTTATTAGTTCAAATGCCTTTTAAAAATTCTTTAGAGATTTTTACATCTAAAAGCATATCAGCTGAGAATAGGTGTGCTTTCTTCCTTTCCAATCTGGACGTTTTTCTCCCTTTGCTTTTTTCTGTTAAACCTTTTTGCAAATTAAAATTTCTATTTTGAGGTAATTTAAGATTTACATACATGTGGAAGAATAATGGAGATCTTGTGGATTCTTATTTATTTATTTATTTATTTATTTTGAGACGGAGTCTCGCTCTGTCGCCCGGCTGGAGTGCTGTGGCGCGATCTTGGCTCACTTCAAGCTCCACCTCCCGGGTTCAAGCCATTCTCCTTCCTCAGCCTCCCGAGAAGCTGGGAAAACAGGCTCCCGCCACCACGCAGGGCTAATTTTTTGTATTTTTAGTAGAGATGGGGTTTCACCGTGTTAGCCAGGATGATCTCTATCTCCTGACCTCGTGATCCGCCTGCCTCGGCCTCCCAAAGTGCTGGGATTACAGGCGTGAGCCACCACGCCCAGCAGATCTTGTGGATTCATTACTGAGTTCCCTCCAATGGCAATGTCTTGCAAAACTATAGTATGATATCATAGCCATGATATTGATATTGGTGATGTCAACACACAGAATATGGTTCTCACCATGAGAATCCCTCATTTTGCCCTTTTATAGACCTGCCCACTGCCTTCCCAAACCTATACCCTTCATAGCCCTTAGTAATCAATAATCTGTCTTTGATTTGTATAATTCGTTGATTCAAAAATATTATGTGAGTGGAATCATACAGTTTGTTTTCTTTTGCAATTGGCTTTTTTTCTCTCAGCATACATCTCTGGATTTTAATCCACATGGTTGCATGTATCAGTAGTTCATTTTTTCTTTTCAATGGTAGAGTTGTAAACCTTGCTGGAGGTGTACCGCAGTTTGTTTAACCATTCATTCATGGAAAGACATCTAAGCTCTTTCCAGCTTTTGGCTATTACAAATAAAAATTGGGTGAATATTCACGCATAGGATTTTGTGTCAACATATGTTGTCCTTTCTCTAGTATAAATGATGAGTAGTCCATTTGCTGGATCATAGTATAGTTGCACGTTTAATTTTTTAAGAAACTGCTAAGTATTTTGCATAATGGGTTTACCATTTTACATTCCTACCACCGATATATTAGTTATACAATTGCTCCACATCCTTGTGGGCATTTACTGGTATCGCTGTTTTTGTTTTCTTATTTTAGTTATTTTGATAGATGTGTACAATCTCTCCTTATGTTTTCACTTATTTATTTATTTATTTGTTTATTTATTTTGAGGCAGGGTTTCACTCTGTCACCCAGGCTGGAGTGCAGTGGTGCAATCACAGATCACTGCAGCCTCAACCGCCCAGGCTCAAGTGATCCTCCCACTTCAGCCTCCCAAGTAGTTGAGACTAGGTACAGGCCACCATGCTCAGCTAATTTTTGTATTTTTGTATTTTTTTTAGGTAGACAAGGTTTTGCCATGTTGTCTAGGTTTGTCTCCAACTCCTGAGCTCAAGCAATCTGTCCGACTCTGCCTCCCAAAGTGCTGCGATTACCGATGTTACTCCTTGTGCTTTTAATATCAAATTTCCTAAAGGCTAGTGATGTTGAACTTCTTTTTGCATACTTATTTGCCTTCTGTATAACTTATTTGATAAAATGTCTTTTCAGGTCTTTTACCCATTTAAGAAACACTGAATTATTTATTTTTTCACTGTTGAGTTTTTTGAGTTCTAAATGTATTCTAAATACTAGTTTATTAATTAATATATTGCTTAAAAATATTTTCTTCTGCCTTTAACTTGAATTTTTATTCTCTTTACATGGTGTGGAGTAGAAAGTTTCAATTTTGATGAGGTTCAATTTATCAATTCTTCTTTTTATGGGTTATAAAAATGCTTTTGGTATCAAGTCAAGGAATTCTTTGCCTAGCTCTAGATCCTGAAAATTTTCTCATTTTTTTGAAAAGAAAATTATAGCTCCTCGTTTTGCATTTAAATCAAAGACCATTTTGAGTTAACTTTATATAAAATATTAAGCATAAGCTAAGCTTATTTTTTCTCTCTTTTTGGCCTATGGGTGACCAATTTCTCCAGCACCATTTATTGCAAAGGCTAGCTTTCTTCCATTAAATTGCATCTGATTGTGTATAAAATCAGTTGTGACATATATATATATCTCCATCTGTTTCTGGTTTCTCTATTCTACTTGATAAATCTATGTATCTATCTCTATGTCAACACCACAGTCCTGATCACTGTTATTATACAGTTAGTCCTGAAACTGAGTAGAGATGTCCCTTCACCCCATTTTTCCCTTCCAAAATTGTTTTAGCAATTCTACTTCCTTTGCCTTTACAGAAAAAGTTTAGAATTATATTGCTTATATCTACTAAAAATCTTGCTGAGATTTTGATAGGAATTGTGATCAACTTCTTTTCAATTTGGAGAAAATTGGCAAATTTACCACATTGAATCTTCCATACCATGAATTAAGATATGTTTCTTCAGTTATTTAAATCTGCTTTGATTAATCTTATAATTTTAAAATATTTTACTATATCAATCTTGTACATGTTTTGAGAGACTTACACCTCAGATTTCATTGTTTTCAGTAATTGTAAATAGTACCGTACTTTCTATTTTTGTGAACATGTGTTCCTGGCAAATATATAGAAAAAGAATTGATTTCGTATGTTTATACTACTTCTTTGACCTTGCTGAACCCACTGTTATTTATAGAAGTTTATTTGTAGACTCCTAATGATTTTATACATAGATCATTAGGTCATCAGCAAAAATAAATCAATTTCATTTTTCCTTTGTGATCTGAATGTTTTTATTTTCTTTTGTAGCCTTATTGTACCGGCTAGAAACCTCAGTACGATGTGGCATAATAGTGGTAAGAGTGAATATCCTTTTCTCATTACAAATTTTAGAGAGAAAGCACTTAGCAGTTTACCATTAAGTATAATATTAGCTAAGTAGAAGATACTTATGACTTGAGATAATGGCCTTTGCTGTTTTCCTCAGAGTTTTTACATGTAATGATTGTTGAACTTTGTCAAATAATTTGTTGGCATTCATTGACATAATCATATGGCTTTTCTTCTTTAACATCTTAATATGGTGTATCATTTTGAATGATTTCCAATATCAAATCAGCTTTGCATCTCTGGAATCAACTTATTTGGACATGGTGTGTAATTATTTTTTAAGTTAGTAAATTCTGTTTGCTAATATTTTGTTACAAACTTTGCACTTTATATTCATGACAGATATTAGCTTTCTTCCTTTTCCCCCTTTTCTATCTCTTTCTAGTTTTGATATCTAGGTAATTCTAGATTCATTAAAAAAACTGGGAAATGTTTTCTCCTCTTTGATTTCTTGGAAGAGATCATGAGGAATTGGTTTTTCCTTGAACAATCAGCAGAATTATTTAGGAAAATCATTTGGGTTTAGAGGGCTTTTCATTGTTGTTTTTAACCACGAAGTCAATTTTCTTAATAATTAATAGGACTATTCAGTTTCCTTTATACTGGATGAAGTGTAGGAATTTGTACTTTTCTAGGGATTGGCCCATTTTGTGTAACTTGTCAAATTTTGTATGCAGAGCCTTTTGTAGTATTGTTTTATTATCATTTTAGTGTCTGTGTAGTCTGTTGTGATTTTCCTCCTTCATTATTGCTATTAGTAACTTGTGTCTTTCCCTCTTTGTCAGTCTTGAAAGAAATTTGCAAAATACATTGATCTTTGCAAAGAACCAGCCATTTTTTATTGATTTTCTCCATCATTTTTTCTATTTTCAATTTCATTTCTTCCTGTTCTTATCTTTATTACTTCCATCATTCTGCTTGTCTTGGGTTTATTTTGCTCCTGTTTTTCAAGGTTTTTTAGATGTGTGACAAAATGAATATTTGTTCTACCCTGACCAAATTCGTATGTTGAATCCCTAACTTCTAGTGTGTGTGATTGTATTTGGAGATGGGACTTTTAAAAATGTAATTAAAGTTGAATGATATCATAAGGGTGGGGTCCCGATCTGACAGAACTAGTATTCTTATAAGAAGAGAGACAAATGAGCTCGTTCTCTCTCTACACACATGCACCAAAGAAGGCCATGTTAGGTCATAGTGGCAGAGCTCCTATCTGCAAACCAAGAAGAGAGCCATTACCAGATTCTAAATTGCTGAAAACTTGGCCTTGAACTTCTAGCGCCTAAAATTGTGAAAAAATACATTTCTGTTGTTTAAGTCAACCAGTCTATGATATTTTGTTATGGCAGCCAAAGCAGACTAATAAAACCTGTCTACAGTGTTGTTGAGTGTGTCTTTGTATGACATGTTTCTTTTTTTAGTGGTTGCTCTATCTTATTGCAGTCTACTGGCATCAACTTTTTACCAGTTCGTAAGTAGTTTAGAAGCCTTGTTTCCCTTTATGCCCCTTTACCCTTTAACATGTATCATATAATTATCATAATTATTTTCTATACCTACGTTGAGAACCACATAGGACAGTGTTATAACTTTGCTTCAACTTTCAAACATAATTCTCTCAAGACAAGAAAAGTCTATTGTATTTACCTATATTTTTGTGAAATGTGATTTTTTCTCATGTTTCAATATACTTTATTATTATTTTTATCTGTTTAGAGAACTTTCTGTAGTCATTATTTTTAGGTAAATCTCCTGTAATTGAATTTTATTCTTTATTCTTTTTTTTTTTTTTTTTTTTTGAGACGGAGTCTCCTCTGTCGCCCAGGCTGGAGTGCAGTGGCTCGATTTCGGCTCACTGCAAGCTCCTCCTCCTGGGTTCACGCCATTCTCCTGCCTCAGCCTCCCGAGTAGCTGGGACTACAGGTGTCCGCCACCACGCCTGACCAATTATTTTTGTATTTTTAGTAGAGACGGGGTTTCACCGTGTTAGCCAGGATGGTCTCGATTAACTGACCTCGTGATCCACCCACCTTGGTCTCTCAAAGTGCTGGGATTACAGGTGTGAGCCACAGCGCCCGGTCTTGTTCTTTATTCTTTATCTGAGAATGTCTTTCTCCTCCACTTTGAGGGATATTTTCTCTCAATATAAAATTCTGGCGTGACAGTGCTTTTTATCTGTGTGTGTGTGTTTGTATGTGTATGTGTGTGTGCATGTGCACATGTGCTTTCTTTCAATACATGAAAAATATTGAGACACTTCTTTCTGGCTTCCTTGGTCTCTGATGAAACATCCATTGTCATTCGAACTGTTTTTCCCCTACAGATAATATGTCATTTTACTCTTTCCCTTCTTTCAATATTTTTTCTTAGTGTTTAGTTTTCAGAAGTTTGATTATCATGTGCTTTGGTGTAAATGTCTTTGACTTCATCCTGTTTGCAGCTTGTTAAACTTTCTGAATTTCTAGACATCTTTTTCCACAAATTTGGGAGACTTTCTGTCATCTATTTTTTTGAATAATGTTTTCAGCCTTGTTCATTTTTTTTTCTTCCTGAAAATCCAGGGACAAAAATTTTAGTTTTATTGTTTAATACTATAGCTTTTGATGCCCTGTTAATCTGTGTGTATTTTCCCTGTAGCTATCGTTGTTCCTCTTGTCTCATTTTATCTCTTTTGTTCTGTTTGGATAATTTTAATATTCCTATTTTCAAATTAACTCTTTCTTTTCCTCCATTCAGCAGTTCTGTCTATCAACTGTGTACTTTATTTTGCTTATTGTAATTTTCTGTTCTACAATTTCATGTTCCTCTTTTTCTTCTATTTCTTTTTTGAGACTCCATATTTGCTGAATCTTTCTACTTTTTCAGTGTTTAAACATGTTTGTAATTGCTCACTGTAGCACTTTTATAATAAATGTTTTAAAATTTTTACAAAAAATTTTAACATCTGTGCTATCTTGGTGGGAATTTATTGATTTTGTTTTTCGTTAGTTTGAGTTTTCCTGGTTCTCGGTATGATAAGTAATTTTATAGAAACTTGAGCATTTTGAACATGACTCTATGTTTTAGCCCTTCTGTTTTATTCTCCTGACTCCTGATGATCCATTATTACTGCCCTATCAGGGCCCCTCACTTGGCATGTATTGACACCCACAAAACATCTCATAAATGCTGAGTAATGGTGGGTGTTCTGGCTCTCTTCTAAGCCTCCTGTGATATATCTGGTTGGGATTATCTTAGTACTCTTCCTTATTTTTAATCCACAGACTGAATGGAAGTGTGAGTGATCAATACTACTGGGCTGTGGTGAAAGTCCTGATACTCTACAATGTTTCCTCTGACACCATCCAAAAGAGGAAGACATGAGAAGGGAACCTGAGAACACTGCTTAGGTAGCAATCTGTATTCCTCGCTGTGGTCACTGCTTTTCCAGAGGGGTATGGGTTTGCCTGGCTATTGCCTGGTAGGGATGTAAGGTCTGGACTTATAACTATATTTCTTTGATACCACCTTAGTAAGAGTTCTGGGGTGTCTAATTTTGGCCTGAAGAGCATGAAATCTTAAATTTCCTACTAGGTCTGTTGTGGTATGGGTACAAATAGGGGGACTTATATTTTTTCTGAAATATTTGTCTGTATAGTGCAATTATTGTCTAAAGGTTTTGTCTGTACCCTTTGGTATTTCCAGTTGTCAGTTTCTTTGGCTCTAAATTCATGATATAGAAAGAAAAACAAACAAAAAGAAAAACAAGGATCTCACTATCCTGTAGTTCCTTGGGTCCAGAGGTCTCTATTTAGTCCTGTTTTTTCTCTGCCTTTCAGAGTCTTCTTATAATTTTCATATGTATTGCCTAAGGTTTTTATTTGTACTTAGCAGAAAGAGTAGGGAAAATACAACTACTGCAACTTTCTAGAAGTCTTATAAAATCTTTTTAAGCATAAAAACCGTAAAGTCATATATACTTGTGTGTCCATTAATCTATATTATCTGTATTTTGTACATGTATAGAGAGGTTTCTAACAATATTTGAAAAATTTAACTATATCTGCTGTTTTAAGTACCAACTCGTTATTTCATCCACTCAAAGTTAAACTTTTAATCATGTATGTGTTATTCTGTTCTCTGTCATCTGCAAATTTGGTATTTTCCATAGATTGATTAAAATTATTGATAAAATGTTGATAAAACAGAAGATAGGACTCCAGATAAAGCTATGACATACTGTATTTTATCAATTACTTATTTATATGTACATCCAGCAACTGCTTTTTCAATGTTTTTTCATGACCAGTGATTGTATTAATTAATGGCCATAAAAATCTAAAAAGCAAACAAAAACACAAAAACAAAAATACAAACAAACAAAAAATGAAAACCACCTTCTATTCCCCGAAGTTTATACATCTGGTAAGTGAAGTAGAGAGATGCTCATGCATGCACACTCATATTCACAAACACATTTTAGAAAATCCAGAGTCTATAAAATAAATTATATATATTATATATATGATTATATATAATGTATAATATATACATATATCATATATAAATATGATATATATATATATATAGTGGTGGCATATGTGTAAAAGGTACTAAGTATTCCTAAGGCAGAGAAGATGGCAGTACACACATTTTACTGACTGATAAACAGATACTAGGCCTTGTGGTAACAGGATAAACTTCTAAGTGTAAATGTATAAAAGAAGCTTCTGATTTCTGAGAACTTTAATACTAGTGATACTATTAGGAAAACTGTTAGTCTCAGCTGGATGAGAAGGTATAATGAATATTACTAGTGTGATTTTTTACTAGGATTGAAAGCTGACTTATACAGGTGGGTGTTATTGTCATTCCATTTACGTTTAGTGAGATGAAATAGCATTTTACATGATTGCCCAGTTAAGAATTTGTTGAACTGGATTCAAACCCAGGGCTGTCTCACTCCAAAGTACAAGTTTTTGATTACTATATTATATTGTCTTCTCAATATATAACAGGTATTTATGGGTCAACATAATGTGATATACATGCACAGATCTCTTTTGTTTGGGAGGAGTTAGTGTGTTGGTGTCTGGGCATATCAAAAAGAGGGGATAGATTGCATATATTTTCATCAATATTTCCTCAATATTGTTCCTCCAAACTGAGATTTTGATAAATATTTAGAGATTAAAATAAATGCAAAATTATACTCCCTGACAATACTCTGCTTGAAAATTATTAAAAGGCACTCATCAGACACATGTTGAGCTGACAAGGTATTAATACCCTTCCATGAAAGCTGAACAGCGTAAAAGGCATCTGAATTGTAGAACATTCAACCTATATTCAGACATAAGCCTTGGGAGGGGCCTCAGGCAGAGCAGCCAAAATTAACTTCAGATAATGGTTTTCAATTCACTTTACTGCACAGTTGACTTGAGAATTAAGCTCACAATGTTCTGTTTCACATATTATGGCTGAATTTGTTTTACCTTGAGCATTTCTGAATGCAGGTATAAATTGATGCCTGCCTAAACCAATGTAAAGATCTTAGTAAATCCCATAGATAAATTCAAGGGAAAAAAAGTTACTACGAGTGTCAAATGCCAGAAAAAAATTTAAATAAAATCAGGATTGAAGAGTGCTGAATGAACTTGGTGGTAGAATCATCAAAAGCATTATTCAGTAAACTTTCAGTGAAGAGTTAGATACAAGAGTAAGACTGGAATGGGTAAATAAGTGAATGCAAGGTAAACATATGGACTGAGACATATTGCCATAACTCTACAGCTCTTTTTCTTTTCATAGTCAAACTTTTTAAAGCTTTTAAAGTCTTTTTAAGTTGATAAAAAATGTAAAGACGTTTATGTGCTCAAAGAAAGGTGAAGATGCACAGTAGTGAGGCTAGAAGGTTCAGGCACATCTTTTACTAAAACAATGGTGACAGTCAAACTCCACAGCACAGAAACATTAATTTGCTTTGCATAGGAAAAAGTTTATTTCTTTGGAGAAGAAGTCAGGTGGATACATAATTCTCAACTTCAGGCATCCCACTTTCCCATTGTCATGCTCTTGTGTAATCTCTTCCTTTCAAGGGAAAGTTTAACCAAGTGAATATCTGATAATGTATAAAATATGCAACACAGAGGATATGTCAATTATATCAGCATTCTATTGCTCTCTCTCTGCTTCTGAGAGAAGTAAGTTGCCTTGATGTAGCTACCCCATGGAGAAGTTCATGTGACAATCAACTGTTATCTCAGATCAAAAGTCAGCAAAGACCTGAGTCCTCTAACATTCAGGAAGGAGCCTGGAAGCAGGTCCTTTCCCAGTCAAACTTCGTGATGACTGCCGCCACAGCTGACAACTCAATGGCATCCTTATAACAGACCTTGAGCTAGAGTCTCCCTGTCAAGCTGCACCAGATTTCTGATCCACAGTGAGAGAGGTGGAGATAAAGTATACAGGTTGTTAGAAATGTCACATATTTTAGTTGACTATGTCTGAATTTCATTGTAATAGTTTATCATAAAGATAAAAAACATTTTATAAAATATAAACTGGGGAAGATATTTTCAGACTGTACTCCTCTAAGGCCTTTTGAGTGGTTCCGGGGAGCAAGTGAATCAGCACCATGGAGAGCTCCATGAACATGCAGCTGTAACATTCACTTAGTGTCACTATTTATGTCTCCTTGTTTTTAGCTCTGTTATAAAATGTCCATCTTATTGATACATATTCTCCACCCTTTTCACTAAAGTCTTTAACGTATTTTTAATAGTTAAAATAAATTTTCTGTCTGATAGTTCCAGTAGCTAGGGCATAATTGAGTCTGGTTTTGTTGATTACTTTCTTTATTGAGAGTGCTTGCTGTCCTTGTTTCTTTGTGTGTGTGTGGTTTTTTTTAATGATTTTGGATTGAAAGCTGGTATCTCATGTTAGCCAACAGAGACTAAATTAAATAATATCAATGCCTGCACATGGACACATTTCTTTTGCTTCTAGGCCTTCAGTGTGGGATGTTGATACAAAATTTACATGGAGTAGAGAGGGTCCTTATTCCTCTTGGATCCAATACTTTGAAGGGTTATGTAATACTGCATCTCTGGGTCTTCTTTACCCACATACAGAAACTAACTGAGAATGAAATCACAAGAGGAAAGTAGCACCAAAGAGAAGAGGCTGAAAAAGACACCTCTTTATATTTTGAACAAGAAAACCTTTTAACCTGTAAGAAAATAACTTTTGCTGGCTTCTCAGAAAATTGAGGTAAAAGAACAACTCACTAGTCTGAAGCCTAAGGAAAGACACACAATTCTAAAGAGGTTCAGGTCTTAAGCACTTGAAACTTGCAGTGGATGTCATTTGATGTACAAACTCTTAAGAAGAACTACAGTAATATTTTCAATAAATTATTAAAATGCGTGTAGGCCATTGTGGGGATACATAAACATTGGAGGCTACAGACCCAAGAGCCATTAGCACTTATAGGCTCTTCTTCATGAATCCAATTGAATGCTTATGAGAAGGACTGAAGTCAGGATGAGAGACCAGAGAAAGAATTCTTTGTGCAAATTTGGAAAAGAAGAGCTCTATGCTCCTCCCCCTTTCATATTATGTGGGAAAGTGACACCACCTCAGAATGATCCTTGATCATTTCCTCCCTATGAGAAAAGACATGAAGACATTGGGACAAGAGGAGTAAACCCTGTTGCGTTTGGAGCACAGGTAAAGATCCATTGCAGCTAGGGGAAGGGAAGAGAAGGCATCTTACTCTACACCTGAGTGATGGGTAGGAACAGTACACAGATATGCCCTATAACTAGCATGGAGACAGCATCACTGAGAAGATACCTAAGTCTGATGCTAAACCAAGACAACTGAAAATTACCCCACCCTCCCCATCCAAAAGCTGGCATGCACTGAGTAACAAACAACAGCAATCCATTGTTGGGGAGGCTCAAGAGCACGAGAGACACATTTTCTGAGGCACAAGCACAGATAAAACACCTAAAACTGAGGGTGGAGCAAAATTCAGTAAAACCATGAGAAGAATTAACTCCCACATTAAGAACAAGATAATTATGGAGGAATCTGAAGCCCATGGTATGTGAGCATAGCCATAACAACAACACAACCAACCCAGATAACTCCTAAATAGGTTGACTCAACATCCCACAACAAAGGCTTAGAAGAAAAAGAAATGTGCCTATTGGCAGACATTGATATGATTTAACACAGTCTCTGTTGGCTTACGTGAGATATCTAGCTTTTAATCCTAAGTCATTAAAAAAAACCACAAAGAAACAAGAATAGTAAGCACTCTCAATAAAGAAAGTAACCAACGAAACCAGACAAATATGCCCTAGTTGTTGGAACTATCAGAGAGAAAATGTTTTACAACTATGAAAAATACATTAAGAACTCTAGTGAAAAAGGTGAAGAATATGCACAAATAAGATGGGAATTTTTTTAAAGAGATGAAAACAAGGAGACAGAAATGGTAGCACTAAGGGAATGCTGTCTCTGCTTTGTCACGGAGCTCTCCATGGTGCTGATGCACTTGCTCCACTAGAACCACAAAAAAGGCCTTTGAGAAGTATAGTCTGAAAATATCTTCCCCCATTTATATTTGATCAAGGGTCATTTTTTATCTTTATAATAAAATGTTACTATAAAATTTAAACATAGTCAACTAAAATATGAGACATTTCTAACAAGCTGTCTGCTTTATCTACACCTCTGACTGCATATAGTGAACTTTGGGCAGTGGAGCTTTTATTGAGTTTCCCTCAATTAACACATGTCTCAGAGTGAATATATTTTTTAAGCTGCCTATAAAATTTTCTGTCCTTTTAGTTTTGGTACTAAAGTCTGAGAGGGTTTTGGAAAACAAAGCAGAATTGTGAAAGTTTTACTGAGATTTGATACAAAATTTATATGGAGTAGAGAGGGTCCTCATTCTTCTGGGATCACTAGTTAGATGGGTTGTGTAATGCTGCATCTCTGAGCCTTCTTTATCCACACATGGGAAGTAACCGAGAGTGAGATCCCCAGAGTAAACTAGCACCAAGTAGAAGAAGAGGTTAAAAAGGAGAACCCTTTATATTTTGTTGCAAGTCTTTATTTTTTGGCTCACCAGAAACCTGCTAAAAGCCTGGATTAGAATATAGTTTTTAAGTAATCATGAAACTTCAAATAAGATTACAGAAAATGTAGGGAATATTTTAAAATCTTGAGAAATTTTTAGCCAAACAGAAAATCCAGAATCCATAGAACAGGAAGACTAACACATTTTACTAATTAAAAATATATTAATTTAAAAATACAACAGAAAACAATGAAGAAAAATACAATATGGGTAAAAGTATGGACCACAAATGCAACAAGTATTTCATTTTCAAAATAAGTAAAATTCCTAACAGATCACTAATAATGAAAAAGACAACCCTAAAACTGGTAAAATAAACAAAAATGTATTTCATTAAAAATATAAAACAATTAGCAAGTGAAAATGTATTGTGAAATTTACTACCTCAGTAATATAGAAAGTGAAAACTAAAATTAATAATTTTTCCTTGTAGTGCAAATTGGCCAACATAAAATGTATAGCATTTATTATGCACATACTTTAATCCCAAATTCTCTTTTTGGCATTTATTTTTAATAATTTTTACACATTTACACAAAACATACATGACCAAGAAATTTATGAAATGTTTATAATAGAAGATATCAGGAACATTTAAATATTTTTTAATTGGTGAACATTAAATTAAATATATTGTTTTTATATTAAGAATTCTATGCAAGAGTTGAAAGAATTAAGCATACTTGCATGAACTATTCTGCAAAGTTTCAAGTTTCCAACTTAAATGAAAAACAAGATGCAAAACAACACATTGTTCTCTATGATTTTGTGTTAAACACACATCTAAGAAACCTTATATTTCTACATATACATATATTGCAGGGCAATGAAAAAGTGCAAGGAATATAAACACTCTATTGATCATAGGAGCTACACCTAGAGTAAAAATTTAAGATTTGTATTCAGCCTTTAATTTTTTTCACGGTGCATAATGTGCTTTTGTAACTACATAAATGTACTAATCTGTATTCATACTGCAATAAAGAACTGCTCGAGACCAGGTAATTTAGAAAGAAAATAGGTTTAGTTGACTCACAGTTCAGCATGGCTGGGGAGGCCTCAGGAAACTTACAATCATGGTGGAAGGCAAAAGGGAAGCAAGGCACCTTCCTCACAAGGCAGCAGGAGGGAGAAGTCCTGAGCAAAGATGGAAGAGCCCCTCATTAAACCATCAGATCTCATGTGAACTCACTCACTATTATGAGAACAGCATGTGGAAAGCACCCCATGATTCAATTACCGACATCTGATCTCTCCCTTGACATGTGAGGATTACAATTTAAGATGAGATTTGGGAGGGGACAGAAAGCCTAATCATATCAATAAAGATATTTTATTATTTATTAAAAAGGAAGCCAAGTTTTGTCACACCCAAACCTCTTGGAAAATAGTAAGTTTACTTTTGAATAGGTTTTTATGTTATTTTCCTTGAAAATGCTTGAAGAATCACAAATGGTTTGTTCACAAAGCAACTTTATAATAGTCACAATGTAAATTCATTAACGAAAGCAAATAAATAAAAGAATGGGAGAAGGAAAGGGAGGAAGGGAAGCATGAAGAATGTAGTAAATAGATGTCTCCTGAAATAAAAAATTTTCTCAATTTCTACTTCAGGTATTTTACTTGCAAATGGGTGCCCTTGGACAATTTATCTAAATTCTTCACTTATTAGAAAACTTCCCTATATTATGGGAATGTTATAAATATTTAAATATGGTTGATGTAAAATTACCAATGTAAAATTACAAAATTATAGTAGATACATGTAACCATTAATAACAAGATGCATCAAAAACTTATTTTTCTATTCTATAATTGTCTTTTTTTTTTTGAGACAGGGTCTCAGTCTGTCACCCAGGCTAGAGTGCAGTGGTGCAATCATAGCTCACTGCACTCTAGCAGCTCACATAGCTCACATAGCCTCAAACTCCTGGGCTCAAGTGATCCCCCCACCTCAGCTTCCCAAGTAGCTGGGACCAGAGGCATGCACCACCACGTCTTGCTAATTTTTTTTTTTTTTTATTTGAGACAGGTTTTTCCTGTGTTGCCCAGGCTCCTGAGCTCAAATGATCCTCCTATCTCTTTCTCCCAATAAACTCCCAAGTTGATATTATTTCTGCAATTATTTTAAAAGATCAAAAATAAAGAGGAAAAGTTAATTTTCCCCTTTCAGTCTCACTCATCTATAATTTTTTGAAAGATAATTGTCATTTACACCTTTCTTATGAATATAATATAAGGGCCAAAGGAAAACTTCCTCGTTGCCCTCTGAAGGGTCACTGAACCACTGACAAAAGGCAGATTAATAATAGAACATGCATAGAAATACATTAAGATGCATGGCAGAGACTCACAGAGTGATTACCCGAAGCACCCGTGAAGTTCAGAAGCTTATAGACCATCTTCTGGTTACATGATCAGTGGTGGCTCAGAGCATGGCCCAAAACAGGTTATGGCAATAAGTTGGGTTATGGGAGGGAGAGAAGAGCAGTCCTGACTAGCCAAGGTGGTCTTGTTAAGCAGATGAAGGCTCGCAGGCAGAAGCCCTCTGAGAGAATAAGATGGGAAATGTTTCTTCCAGACTTTAAATATGTCAGATTTTCAGTTAATATTTCCTAGGTCAGATAAAGGTGGGCCTCAGAGAAAACCTGACGGCATCAATGCAGATTTCCCCTGCAGATGCAAATCTCATCCTGCAAGACAGCTTTTTGGCTATCTTTTTATTCCAAGCCCTTGTAAGTAGTCACCTTGAACTATGCCAGGAAAATATATTTTGGGGTGAAATAATTTGGCTTCCTTCAACAGGCTACCTTGTATGTTTTTTAAACTAATAGTTGAGCCTCCAAAATAACACTTTTAAGGCCTTCAGAATTACAAGACAACAATAACAAAAAAACTTTTTTTTTTTTTGGCCTAACCCTGTATAATAAATATTTCTATATTCCCAGTGTCATTTTTTTTTTCTTTTTTGAGTCAGTGTATCACTCTGACACCGAGGCTGGAGTGCAGTGATGCAATCATGGCTTATTGCAGCCTCAATCTCCTGACCTCAAGCAATCCTCCCTTTTTGGCCTCTCAAAGTACTGGGATTACAGTGATCCTCCAAGTTTGTTTCAAATATTTGACTACAGATTTTTTAATCTTACATGATAAGTAGACAATTTAGTGATTTACAAAAAGAGACTAGAAAAAAAGGAGCTGTAGACTGAATTGCCAACTATTTCAAAAATATAATCTTTGAAGACCTAAGCCAGTGATTCTCAAACTGTAGTTAAGTAATCAACTACTTAAAATGCATATATCCCTGAACCCTCAAGGACCACTTAACAATGTGTATATCCCTTAACTCACCTCATGGATTTGAATTCAGTAGATCTTGATTATTTTTAGGAATATGTATTCTTACATATAACCGAAAGAAATTTGAGCTGATCACTCTCAGTTTGCACTTTAAAACATTGCATTAAATTCCCCCTCCCTCCCTCCATTTTTAGCCCCATGAAGTAAGCTTCACCTCATGAGTCAATGGAGTCATTATATCTTCATAAGTTTGTAAGTCAGTCATTCACCGACTTATGTTTTGAGAAGATGGAGACCCATGATATACAACTTAACTGTGGCAGTTACATAAAAATTCAACATATACATGTATAAAGAATTATAACACATAGCAATTATTTACTCAAGCAAGATGCAGAGACATTTGTTTTGATAGATGAGCTTTCTCAGTAGCTTTTTCTACTTGGCAAGCCAGGTGTATTTTTAGTAGAGCCAAAGCACCTGGTTTAGCAGAACATCCATTATTAATCTGATAGTAGAATGTATAATTTACTGCCCATAATGCTAATTATAATAGCTCCTTACATAAGCAAAGCTGAAGGACTGCCACTTAAATTGTTGACAGTAGCTAGTAGATTACAGACTTAAAAAAATTCCACAGAAACATAAAAATATCTGGTAAACACAAAAATGAAATTAGAATGGGGTTATATAATTTAAATTTTTAATTTAGAGGACTCTCTTTAAAGGCAAATAATATATGCATTATTTTATGAAGATGCATAATAAATATGCCACATTCAGAGAATGGTTTAATCAAATATTTTTATGCTAATAGAAAATTAAAGGATAAAGCCCTACATACTGTCAAATTATGCCCCCAGTTGACAGGCAAGATGGACTCCCTGTGGCTCAAAAGTAAGAGCAGAGCCAAGAGGCCATGGCGGGCCGAGGAATGGTCAAGTTCTGTGTGTCCTACAAAGTGTTGTAAAACTTGTTTTTCTGCCACCAAGTCAAATAACCATTTCTGGAAACAACTGCAGCTGGAAATTTCCCTAGTGATCACCAGCAGACCACCTGGTGCCAACTGACAGACCACCTGGAACCAGCCAACTAAGAAAGAGACTGGCGATTTGGGGCTTAATGGTCGTCCAGTCACAACTCTGTCCCTCACTCCCCTGAATCCCCTCCCTTGCCTTCCGGTTTTTGCTTTAATCATCTCTCACTCTCCATCCTGCTCCTTGGAGTACACTCACTTTTGTAAAACAGAGGCTATGTCTCCCTAATCTGCAGCTTTTTTTTTAATAGAAAATAGAGGTCTCCCTTTATGCTCTGCAGATCACATGGTCTGTTGTTAACAAAACCAAAGATTACCTTGTGTAGAACAGAGTATACATTTTACCTATTATAGAATAAAATTTTGAACAATATTGAGTTATAAGTGTATAATATCAGTACATTGGGATATTCGTGACATAGAACAATATTGAATGAAAGTACTAAGAAAACAAGAAAGAAATAAAAAGCTTCAGTGGTGATATAAGACATGTTGATACAGAATGAGGGCATAGTGTGTATTAAAGTAATGTCACAGAGGCCTTGCGTAGAAAAAAAGGTCTGCTTCTGTATACAAAATGGGATTAAGATGCATGGCAGATATATTTTACTTCATAGTTCTGCTTAGTGTCACACATAGAGATACATGCCCTTATGTTAACTCAAACACTCACCGAAATGGTAACATGAAAAATCATAGTTAAAGCATTTTCAACAAAAAATTAAAGTGTTTGGTCTAATTCATCTCAAAGGATTTATTCAGCTTTAAAAGGTTTAACATTCCCTATAATATTAACGGCAAATTAATCAATTTTGGCTTTGTAAACACAATACAAAATTATTTGAATATATGTTTTATTGATATAATGGCCAAGTTTTTAAAATTTATCTTAATACCATATTAAACTCCATGAAGTGAAAGATATTCAATTGATTGTTTCTGAAATATTGACTCACTTGAGTATTCTAAATCAACTATATTTCATAATACACCTTCATATTAAACAATACGTTCTCAAAGGAAATGCATTTATTAGAAGCAAACTGTTGAAATATAATATAGATGGTATAAATTATCATCCAAAGTTAACAATAATTGTGTCAAGGCTAAACTGATATGTACATTTGATCTTCTGACAAATAAAAAGATCTTGCCAAAAATATTATCACTGAAGTATGATATACCATTTTTAAGACATACTAATTTAACTTTAATAAGTCTATCAGAAAAACGGGTACAGATATTATCACAACTGCTAACATCACAAAAAAGAGAAAATCAGAAACGATATGCCATCTGATGGAGGAACATAATATGCTTTGTGAATAACTGCCAATCCAAATGTTAAGCCTGAATCTGATAAAAACTTTCAGATTCAACTACCCATTTACAGAAATTCAGATATCAGAGAAATGTGCTAACCAATAGTATGAAGATTTAATCAACAAAATCCAGAATATAAAAGAATTTGCTTTGTCAACAAATAAATTGCAAGATAAAAAGCAAGAGATGGAAAAACTTGCCGATGAGATACTGTGTGTGCATGTTCCTGTTTATGTGTATGTTTGTGTGCACATGTGTGTGCAACAACCAATTACAATAGATTTTATTTATGTGGATTTTAACTCAAACAAACAGATGAAAATAATGGAACCTTCCATAGAACTAGAAATGTATGAACAATAACTACATATTTAATGATATATGTTAGTTTTTAATGTGAATGTGATAATGGCATTGTAGATTTTTTAAGAAATCTATTTTTGTAAGATAGGAATTCTATTCATATCACTTAGAAATACATATCAAAATTTTTACAGAAAAACTATATATTTTCTGGAAGTACGTAAGGTTTAGATAATACATCTTTAGACATGAATTGATGCTTACCAATGCATAGGATAATTACGCAGCAATTATATTTGTTTTCTTTTGCATGTGTTTGAATTTTCCACAATAAAAAGTTAAAGTTATTTTAAAGCATGTATTTATAAACAAATCATCATGGAGAACTTTTTGAATGTTTTATAATTTTACAAAGTAGTTTCATTGTTTTTATTATTCAAAGTAGATTAACTTGTGTTGTTACTTTTCATAGGTAAAACTTTTTATTCTTTCACATGTGTAATTAAATATTTCCACTGGTTAGAGTGACTGAAGTTGTTACAAATGATTGCATTTTATTATCTACTAACTACTTTCACTATTAGCATTACTATTCTGATTAAAGGATTTATACATATTAACATGATAAAGAGATAAGATAAATGTGGATTCTGTAAGAATAATTTATTTCTTCAGTCTTCTTATCTCAAATTTCCATATCCAAAATTATGAGTTTTTTGTTCTCACAAAATAAAATGCATTACATATTTGAAGTGACAGCAGTGTCAACTTATCAATTCCAATGGTGTTCATAATAAGAAAGGAGTATATCAGTGAAACATCTATTTGAAGATATAAGGAAAGTGAATTCCAGGCAGATAAGAGAGTAAATATAAAAGTTAAAATCCTGAGTTCAAAACAAGATTAAACTGCTTAATGAAGTGAAATAAATTCAGTTGTTCTGAAACGGAGTAAGCTGAGGGAAGAGTGGGTTGAAATAAGTTTTGTTTGAGCAAGCCAGAAATTATAATTCATGGTAAGGAATAACCAAATGGTGAGAGCTTGTTGAGGAATAGAGAGACATGATCTGGCTGCTGGTGAGAAACGAACTTCAGAAAGTGAAGTTTAGGAAGTCTTCAGGAAGTGAAGTGAATGTTTGAGGAAAGTGAAACAAGGCAAACCGCAGTCAATCAATATAAAGATCCTTGAAATTGTCCAGGAAAAGACTGTATTGGCATAGGGAGGAAAAATGATCAGATATGTACTTAGAAAATATAGTAGAAATGCTTTGAGATTAGAGGAAAGGGAAGAGGAGACAGCTACAGGTTTTCTTCTCACCGCCTCTCACCCAAGCAGTTGTAAGAATAGTTTTGCCATTTATCAAGATGGAGAAGCAGGGAGGAGACCAGATGTAGGGTCTAAGTTGTTTGTTTTTTTCCTTTTCTTTTTTTCTCCCTCTTTTTCTTCCTTTCTTTTTTCTATTCTTTCTCTTTTTATTTTAAATGAATTTTGAAATCTGTATTTTATATTCAGTTGAAGATGTTAAGTACACAGTTGTGCATATGAGTCTGAAAAGCTCATGAGAAAGAATGTTCTAGAGCTATACATTTGATACCATTATAAAGCTGAATTTTTAAAGCTGTCAAACTAGATAGAGTTATTGATGCAGTGTACATAGGACAGAAAAGAAGGTCAAAAAGTAATTCATGGAACAACTTGCCATTTAAATGTTGAGAAGACAGTGAAAATTTTGAAAAATGAGTGTATATTTTCATGTCACCACTTTACCATGAGATTAAGTATTAATTAGTTTTTGCACTGTAAAGTTGGCTAAAATGCATTACGTTTGAGAAGAATGCATTAATGAACTATTTTTATACATGCTGTCATTCCTGAGAAGAACCTTTTAGAGTAAACCTTTTTGAATGTTTAGGAGCCCTACTATTTCTGACTGTGATGCTTTAGTTACCTCTTAAAATACAATATGTAAAGAAACTTACACAGCATATACATTGATAGCTTTCAGACAGTAGGTATCTGGCAATGCTGGATAGTGATACCTAAAAGACAGAAAGTAAAGAATATAAGACGGATTAATGTCTCCACTTACTCTCTGGAGAGAGTGTCTAGGACACAGCCAATAGAGTTGGCAGGTTGAAGGCAGAGGGGCAGAGAAAAAAAACTGAAGAAATAATAACATAATTTTTCTAAATGTTATGAAAATTATAAGCCCCTAGAACTAAGAATCTCAACAAACTCCAAGCACAAGAAACATGAAGAAAATTAATAAAAGTATATCATCATGAAATTGTTCAAAGGGGAAAAAAGACATGTTATGGATAGAAGAATAAATATAAGGATGACAACAGGTAAAACAAAATACAATAGAGCAGCATTTCGTTGAATTTAAGAAATTGCCAACAATCTTTCAAAAACAAAAGTGAAAATAAAGATTATCCCAGACACAGAGAAACCACAAGTATTTATCATCAATAGGTCTACACTAAAAATATGTTAGGAAAAGTCTTTCCGGAAGAATAAAATGATATGAGATTGAAATCTGTATGTCTAAAAGGAAGTAAAGTACATTTGAAATGTTGTATAAGTGAATAAATATAATTTTTCTATAATTTTAAATTTATTTAAAACATAACACCAATATGTTGTGGTGCTTATACCATATGTAAAAACAAATGTATAAAAATAATAACACAATGTCTAGAAAAGTAGGTGTAAAAATTTTTATTTTAAAGGTTTTTTAAGATTTAAGCATTACAACAGTATCTGAAGGTATGCTGTGATAAGTAAAGGCCGATACTAGAAAATCTAAAGCAATTTCTCTCTCATATTTCTCTCTCTCCCCCACTTCTCTTTCTCTCTCTCTCTCTCATGCATGCACCACACACACACACACACACGAGAGAGAGAGAAAGATATATCTAATAAGCCAACAGAGCAGATAATACAGAATCATTTTAAAAGGCAGAAAAAAAGTAAAAAGAAGAAAAAACTAAGAAAAAATGGATAAGAAGAAAATACAGCAACATGGTAGACACAAACTCTAAATTATCAATAATCAAATTAACAGCAAACAGGATAAGCATTCCAATTAAAAACCAAAACTAGTTAATGGAATGGCTATATTGATATAAAACGCTGGAGATTCCAGAGGAAAAAGGAATCGCAAATTGCGCGAAGAGTTATTTAGTAATGACAAGTGAGTAATTCATCAGAGATAACAATTATAAATGTCTATGAACCTAAAAACAGAACTTCAGTTACATGAAGAAAACACTGATAGAACTGAAAAGAGAAAGAGAAAAAACCACAAGTAAATTATTTTTCAAAAAACTGACAGTTCTAAGCAGAGCAATAACAAGAAAACGAAATAAATACAAAATGAAATAAAACATATATGGGTTGGAAAATAAGAAATAAAGGTTCCTTGTTGCAGATAATACGATTGTCTAGTCAGAAAACTCCAAGGACATAGAAACAACGAGAACCAATCAGGGAGTTTATCAGGGTTTTGTAGGACACAAAGTCAAAATACAAATCAATCTTACTTTGTATACTAGCAATAAACAGTTAGAAATTAAATAAGAAACCACTTAGAAATTAAATAAGAAACCACTAAATAATACCACTTAGAACGCCACAAATAAATAAGTTGATGTTACTTCAACAAAATATTTACATAACTTATATGCCAAAAATTTTTTAATTATGCTGATAAAAAATCATAGACCTAAACCATTGAAGACAAATATCGTGTCTGTGGAACAGAAGACAACGTAATAAAGATGTCAATTTTCCTCCAATGCAATTTGTATCAAATTCAGGTTGATATTGGTAAATATTTATATTGTATTTCTAAAATATATAAGAAAATACACAAAAAAAATAGCCAGGCGCGGTGGCTCACGCCTGTGATCCCAGCACTTTGGAAGGCTGAGGTGGGCAGATCACCTGAGGTCAGGAGTTCAAGACTAGCCTGGCCAATATGGTGAAACCCCACCTCTACTAAAAATACCAAAATTATCCAGAAGTAGTGACACATGCCTGTATTCTCAGCTACTCGGGAGGCTGAGGCAGGAGAATCACTTGAACCCGGGAGGCGGAAGTTGCAGTGAGCCAAGATCGCGCTATTGCACTCCAGCCTGGGCGACAGAGGGAGACTCCATCTCAAAAAAAAAAAAAAAGTTGAATTATTAAAATCATGTAAAAAATAAGAGAAGGTTGGGGGATTCATGCAGCCCAATTATAACTCATTATATAGCTACAGTAACCAAAACTGTATGGAAGGATAGACATATAACTCAGAGAACACGATCCAGATACAGACTCACAAAAATATGCCCAAATGATTCTTATAAAGGTGCAAAAGCAATTTAATGGAGAAAGAGGAGTCTTTTCAACCAATGGCATTGACAATATGAAATTTTTTTTAAAAAAAGAACCATAACTTAAACCTCACACTTTATTTAAAAAAAATTTACTCCAAATAGATCTAAATGTAAACCATAAGCTATACAACATAAGATAAAAGTTTTGTGAATTTGGGCTAGAAAAAATGTTCCTAGACATGACCCCGAAGGCACAATCTATAACAGACAATATCAAACTGCAAGTAAGGACATGAAAAGATGTTCAATATTATTAGCCGTTAGGACATGGAAATTAAAATCAAGATGAGATACCATCACTGCTATGTTTTGAATGTGTCCCCCAAAGTTCATGTGTTGGAAATTTAACACCCAATGCAACAATATTGAGAGGAGAGGCCTTTAACAGGTGATTAGGTTATGAGGGCTCTGCTTTCATTAATGGAGTAAGGGTGTTCTCACTGGAGTTGATTAGTTTTCTTGAGAGTGAATTTGTTATAAAAGCAACTCTGGCTCCTCCTGCACGTGCTCACTCCCTTGCCCTTTTGTCTACTGCCTTCTGCCATGGGATGATGCAGCGAGGAGGCCCGCACCAGGTGTGGGCCCTTTGATCTTGGGCTTCCCAGCCTCTAAAACCAAAAAAACATAAATCTCTGTTCTTTCTAAATTACCCTGTAGCAGGATTTCTGGTATAGAAGGACACAACAGGTTAAGACAATCTTAGGTATCTTAAAATTACTAAAATAAAAAAAAAAATATATTGACAACACTGGTGGTGAGGCTGGGGAACAACTGGGGGTTTTATAAATTGATTGTGAAAATATAAAAGGGGATAGTCACTTTATTAGTTTTCTATTGTTACTGTTTACCACAAACTTAGCAGTTTAAAACAAAACAGTCCATTTTCTCCATTTCCTTGTGTCAGGAGTCTGGTAGTAGATGCAGCCTGCCTGACTGCTGTTACCAATGACCAGAGTTGGGGCAAACTTCACAGGTTAATAGCACAGTCCTTCATAAGATTGTTCTCACTTCAGACAACAGTTTCTCTTTTGGAAATTCCAAGACTACCCTCACTTTTGTCCAGTTGGCTACAATTTCTGAGATTGTTACTACACTACCCCCCTTCAGGTTCAATAATTTTGTAGAGGGACTCATAGAACTCAGGAATATCCTATAAATATGATTACTCTTTTATAATAGCAAAAGGATGCAAATCAGAACTGACCAAATGGAAAGACACTTGGGGTGGGGTCTGGGAGGGTTTCTTTCTTTCTTCTTTTTTTTTTTTTCTTTTTTTGCTATACATAGATTCAAGTTTATTAATTTTAAATTCTTAAAATTAAATTTTTGATTGATTTATTTTTTAATTTTTATTTTAAGTTCTGGAGTACAAGTACAGGTTAGTTACATAGGTAAGCTGTGTCATTGGAGTTTGTTGTACAGATTATTTCATCACCCAAGTATTAAGCCTAGTACCATCAGTTGCTTTTCTTAATCCTCTCTGAGAGGGTTTCAAATGTGAAACTTTCATTATCCTCTCCCATGTAATCAGGGTGCATTACCCTCCAGGCATACTGATGTGTTACCATAATCAGATTACAGCCAATCAGGGAAGCTCGCCCAGTGCTGGTGTCCAGAATTTTAAGTATGACTTCATTACCTATGCATGATTGAGTCATTGGCCATATGACTCAGTCTTCAGCCCTTCTCCCATCCCAAGCAGTCAGGCTCAAAGCCCCAACCCTCTTATCACATGGTTGTTCTTTCTAGCTTGACCAGATCCCATCCTGAGTCATCTCCTTAACACAAACTAATCTAGGAGCCCACCATGAGTCACCTTGTCAGTATAAACTTTCAAGTGTGAGCCGAAGGGTCACCATGAATAACGAAGACCCTTCTATCACTTGGCAAAACCCAAAGATTTAGAGGCTACCTACCTCTCAGAATCTGATAATAAAAGCCAGACAAATACTGTTTATTGTACAAGTCCTCTTCTCAGAGTCTCACATGGTTAAAATTAAGGTGTTGGGTAGCTGTGTCTTCATTGGGTGGCTGGATTAATAGAGCTTATTTTAAGAAGACTCAGGTTGTTGGAAGAACTCATTTCTTTGTGGTTATGTAATTGAGGTCCTAATTTTCTTGCTAGTTATTGGCTAAAGGCCACTCTCAGCATCTAGTGGTTACTCTTGGGTCCTTTCCACATGACCCATGCCATTTAATATGCTCCGTCAAGTCCAGAAAGAAAGTCTATGTGTATTTGAGTCTGTTTTAATGGGCTCAAGGGACTACGTAAGGTTCACTTATGGTAACCTCCCTTTTGATTCATTCATAGTCAACTGACTAGGAACATTAATTACATCTTAAAAGTTTCTTTGGCCGTATCACAGGAGTGGTTTTTATATTCACAAATTCTACTGGCATTCAAGGAGAAGATTTTATAGGGGGCAGGTACACTAGTGGGTGGGAATCATGGAATCCATCTTAGAATTCTGCCTATTATTTCCACTCTGGTAAACAAATTGTCAGTTTTTTATAAAATTAGATACAGCAAGTGCACTCCTGAACATTTATCCTGGAGGAATTAAAACTTATGTTCATAGAAAATCCTGTACATGATTGTTTATACCAGCTTTGTTTGTAGTAACTGGAAAGAAAACTCGAAACAACCAAAATGTTAATCTTTAATTAACTTACCAAAGAGAAAAAAATCCATAGAGACTAGGGATAGCAAAGAAGGGTTTCTAAAAGAGTAAACTTCACAAGAAAAGACTCTTAAATGAAACAGGACAGTGGAGAGAGAGGTGCTGTGGTTAATAGGAATTCAAAAAAGATCAATGGGGTCAACTTCCGAAAACAATGATTATATAGTGTAGCATGAAATGAAAGGCAGGGATATAGGCGAAATTATGGAATGTCATAGAGACCACATTAAATAATTAGGAGAAATCTATGAGGTTAATTATGTATAAGGTCTGTGTTAGTCTGAACTTGCCTCACTTTAAAGACATACTTGAGCCTGGGTAATTTATAAAGAAAAGAGGTTTAATTAGCTCATGGCTCTGCAGGCTGTACGAGAAGCAGGCACTAGCATCTGCTTCTGGTGAGGGCCTTAGGAAGCTTACAATCATGGTGGAAGGTAAAGGAAGAGCAGACATGTCACATGGGGAGTGTGGGAGCAAGAGTGAGGAGGACACTGCTCTAAACAAAGAGTTCTTGAGTGAGCTCAGAGTGAAAGCTCACTCATTATGTGAGGATATTACCATGCCATTCATCATGAGGGATCCACCCCCATTACCCAAACACTTCCCACCAGGCTGCAACCTCCAACACTGGGGATCATATGTCAACATGAGATTTGAGGGGACAAATATCCAAACCATATCAAGGTTCCAGAAAGAAAAGAGTAAACAAGTTTAAATTACTAGCTTTGGTTAATAACTTAGTGAAAATACACCTTCTTTCAACACCACAAAACCCATACTTGACATATAATGAGACAAATAACAGTATAATTTTACAAAATGAAAGTTCAAGTTCTTGCAACACATACTTGTATTTATTTAATAAAGTCTATCAAAAGTATCTACAAAGTAAACAAAGTGCCCTAAGATCAAATGTAGCTAATTATTTGTAGTTACTATGTAGTAACTAAATGTAGTAACTAAGCTATTATTTATTCATTATTATCTAATTTGCTCCCAGTTGAATTTTCAACATCACTTGGTAACTTAAACCTTGGCACTTCTAGTAATCTTGAAATATCTCAGAGTTAATGAGTCATGCATATGTGTGTCATGTGCATTACAATAAAATAAATACCCCCACAGATCGTTACAATTTATAAAGAAAATGAGAAGGAAGAAGGACAGGAACGAAGAGAGGAAGGTAAAGAAGGATATTAAAGTGAGCAAGACTTGAAACAGGAACCTGCTAACAAGAGTGCCAGGTGGGTTTTTCAGGCTTAACATTGTTAGAACATTATATATGAATGACTTTATTTCATCAATTATGCACATACCATACATGGACACACTCTCACATTTCCAAAATTAGAACCCATTTTGCAATCACACTTAGCTAGGGCAGTGCCATGAGGATGTCATTTCCTTTACATGTACTAGCTTAGTTTGAAATTTTTCTGTTGATGGTAATAGCATGCAGAAAATCAGATATTACGAAATGAATGTCAGTAGCCTGAAGAATTTCTAGAGAAAATGATGGAATACTCTTTCAGAAATGATGCATTGCCACAGCTCTTCGAAGCACAGGGAAAAATAACGTATGGAAAAACACAGATATAGACAGGCCAGAATCAATATCTGATTCCGAATCTGCAGGGTGTGACTATGGAGACCGTTAGGCATAACTTAACTAATATTTTTCTCTTGTACTTTTTAAAATAAGCACAGAGTCACATATGATCATACTTTTAAGTTTAAAAACCTTTTTCAAAAAGTATGAACATAAAAGTTATAAAACATGTTGTGTAGTCATTGAGTTGTCAATGTTTCTGAATTGTTTTTGTGGCACATTGGATTCATATGGTGCACATTATATTTTATGGCATTTCTGGTTGAATGAAAATAGCATTGAGCATGTCTTTACCATTTGCAGTCTCTGAAAGGAGCAAAATGGAAAACTATCACATACTGAATGTCTAAATCTTTGTTAGATATCAAGCTATTAAGTAAAACATCTTCTATCCTCCCATTAATAAATATGTCTTCATTTTTATCTAGAAGGCTTGCTGCCCATCCCACTTTTCTTTCCATCTGCAGGAACCTCCAGCACGGTGAAGGAATTTCCATGCATGCACTCTAGCCCACTTACTCAAACTCTGCCTGCTGTGTAGACCCTACACAACTATGAACAGCTCCCCTTTTAATGGCCCTCTAAAATAGTGTTGGGTCTGCAGGGATGATCTGACTTCTAGAGGACTGACTGGCAAAGAACCTGGCACAGGCCCTGGATCAACTGTCAGGCTTATTTTGGGCAGAGAGTATCTGGAGTATGTCTCCAATGGGGAGAGTGGTTGCACCCTGGATTGGACACTCTTCAGCAGCTAGAATGAGCCCCTCAAATATGCTAGGCCCCTGTCAGAAACTCTCAGCTCTCCTTGCTAGTGTCAAAGGGTGGTGCTGTAAGTTATAATGCTTTAAAACCAAATTGGCTCCTAAGAAATATGTCATTAGATTATCAAGTTGTTGATAAAATACTGGTGGTAACATTTATTAAGCTCGGAACATAAACTTATGAATCTTATTTTTACAGCTTTTTCCTTCCTTCCATTTATTGTGTAGGCAGTCTCTTCTTGCCATCATATTTTAAGTAACAAATTGGAATACACTATTTATTGACTCAGATGTTCTCAGTGAGTGCTACAGCTATTCCCACAAAAGCACGTTTTCCAGAGAATCTATGTTAATTCTTTATACACCTCAGATATTTAGATAGTCCAGCAAAATAACCACATCAAACGATCCCATGACTGATGGATGAATTTAAATTATAAGATTGCTTTCATAACTACTGAATTCTTCTATCTGGATATGAAAATAGATATTTTCTATAAATCAGAGTTAGTATACATTTCTTAGCCAAATGGCTTTCCATTTGTTCTGTGTCATCTACAAATAACATGTTATCAAAAATCTCACTCTACTGAAATGAAAGTTTTATGTCTTTAGAGAGAATTTTTTAAAAAATATCAGTCAAAGTACAAACTCCATGTTAAAATAAAATGTTGTTGAACAACAAATATTTCTTATTATAATAGTAATTTGAATGCCTTTTATTTTCTTCATTGTGTGCGTTCTAAGAAAAGATAACACTCAGCTGCACATAGATGGCTCTTTCATTTTATCAAGCTTAGAGATTCCATCTTCTAAAATGCCTCCCTAGTTCCATTACTTTAATTAAAATGTTTTGATATGTTGCTGTACCTTGGACAGTGCTCTTTACTTGCCTTAAATCCTTACATTGATATCTTGGTGTTTTCTCTAATGAGTCACCTTCAATGTTAAATTGAAGTAATGAAGAAAAATAGAATGAATTAGAGATCAAGGAAAATGCTTCAGAAGGTGAGTTCACTCAGGAGATCTTGTCATTAACATTACTTTTATTGAGTTGAAGGAAAAATAATTTAATACTGGAATACACAAATAGCTTGTTTGTGATGCTATATTTCTATGTCCCACAGTGCTAATTGGCTGCCCATTGAGCCAAAGAAAGTGCCATAAGAAGATCTAATATGTCTACTAATATTCCACTAACAGCATTTTAAAGCCAGTATGTATTTATGTACTCATACTGCTTAGCAGTAACTGTAGTTATGTGATAGAAGATCGGTGAGAGAAAAAATGGGCAAAGCGGGGGTCAATATAATGATCTGATTTTCACATGGTCTTACTCTCTGGTCACCAACTAGGCAACTTTAAATAATATCACTTTTATATTGCCAGGGTATTATTTAGTGCAGTTAAGAGCAACTTAATTACAACACTGAGTCCACCCCAGGAATGGGAATGTGTTTAATGTCAAAGCCCCATTAGAAGTTCACACTATTTTCTATTCCTTAGTTCTCATAGAGTAAAGCCCTAAATTTAATGTAACCCCATTTAGCTGAAAGAGTTAAGAAAGCATCATGCTGCCCTGAAAATCACCATTTAGGAACAAAATGAAGAAAGAATTGAGTTTCACATGGAAACACCTATTGTAGAAATGATAAACAGATCAAAGGACTGTTATGATTTAATCACGAATCTTCCATCCTAGTTTATTTTCACAGAAGAGGTTTTATACATCTGGCTGATAAAATTTCCATATATAAGGCATAGGTTTTTCAGGAAGACATGAGAATGTTGAAACAACTACCAGGGAAAGTGTGTGAAACAGAGTCTGTAATTAATATGTCTACAACCAAATGGCTGAGCAACAAGCAAGAGACTCTCAGAGTTAATGGTGGAGAAATCAGTCAATAATTATTTCTAGTTTGACTCCAGGCCAATACACAGAAATAGTTTTACTAAAAAAAAAAAAAAAATGTAATGGGAGCATTACATGTAAAAGGAGCACTTGAGCAAGCTCCAGGAAAATAAAAACTTTGCTGCTAGATGTGAAATTACTGATGCAGACAGAGAGAAACTCTTTAATGTTACTCTCTTTTCATGATAAATAGTTCGAAATGCAGGCAGAGTAGCTTGCAGAACAATGGAACGAAGCATCTCCTTGTGTGCTTGCAAGCAACTAAAGAAATGAGTTATGTGAAACTAATGTAAAGATACAATCCACAATACTTGAGAAGGTTTTGGCACATGTAGAATCATTAAACAAACCACTGTGGGCTGGCTTCCCAGGGACCAAAAACCAGCTTTCAGGAAGTCTGACAAGGCTTTATAACTTATCTAGTGGCCAAAGCAGAGAACATACAAAAAAGTGAGACAGATTTAATACAGATTTGCTTTAGTAAAACTAATTCAGCAACACATGCAGAAAGCCAGCAGAAAGTAGGCACTGGAGATTTTTTCATTTGAAAAATAAAAATCTTACAAATTAAACCAAAAGGGTGAGTCATGATGTGGTCCCTTTGTTATTGAGAGAAGGGGGGAAAATTAAAAAAATGCTTTAAAATGTTCATTTATGCATGGAAAATATTTTCTTTCAGTGTGCCTAGTGCTGTGTCAATCACTTACCTTTTATAGTTTAATTCTCACAGTACTTTAATAAGCCACATTATTTTATTGTCTGTCTTATAGGAAACCTGAGGTTTAGAGAGTCTGTCTTCATGAGAAAAACATGTCAAACTAGACTCCAGTGGTTTTCATCTCCACCTACTCTCACAGCTGCTCCTAACAAAATTGTTCTTGGCTATTCAATGTCATATTCCTGGTCTCCACTTTTTGTTAAGTACTTTTTATCACACCATTTCGTTCAAGCCCTTCCTTCAACCACTAGTGCTTATCAGCCCTATTGTTATACCCAGGACCATTTTCTCCTAATTTCTCCAAACCACTTATTGCTTGACTTCTTTCCAGACAATAAAGTTCATCATTCCAGCCATATTCTCGATTACTGATAAAATTCCCTTTCTCCCAGGATAATTTTTCCCTCATACCCATATCTTGCATGAATCCTACAGTCATCAATCCCTTTTCTTTTATCTGGGATGCTAAACACTATTCTGACAAATCGCACAGCTCTGCCAAAGGGTGTAACTGGGAGGATTCAGTAATCTTTTGACAATTTCCTAGTTTCCAAGTCAGCTTTGTGAAATGTTTGATGGCTTCATTTTTCATGTCTCTCATAGTTCCTCAAGTTACCAGAGATACTCAGCTGTCTACAATCTTTAACTGTATCTAAAATAACTTTTCTTATTTCTCTGTTACTTCAGGGGAAGTGGTGTTTTGTTTTGCTTTGTTTTTATTTATAAATCTAAGGCTAATCTTATTTTTTTGCTGGCTTGGGCCACACTGAAGTCTATTTTATTTCAAAGATGAGATGCATTCAATAGTCCCAGCCTCAATTATACGGTGTATATAAACATATGCAATTCTGCAAGAAAAGAGACATGATGTTACATAATTCATGTCATTGAAAATTTGTAATGTGTGTCTAGACATAATAAAACACTGTATAAGTTTATTTAATGAATACATAAATAGAAACAGTAATTTAAAAGAAGCATTTCAGAAAGAAGAAAAGAGTCACAGTCCAAGTTCATGCACTCTTATACTGTTTGATATAAATGGAAATACTTTGTATTGATTGAATTAAGGAGTATCAATTATAACTATCACACCTTTTCTAAAACACACCAAAGGCGAACATACTCATGTTTCCAAATTATAAAACCCATGATCCTTTTTAATTTTTGGAAAGTAACAATATTATCATATGTTGCACTAAATTTTTTCTTACTTTTTTTTCTTTTCTTTCTGTTTTTTGTTTTTTGTTTTTTTTTTTTGAGACAAAGTCTCACTCTGTCACCCAGGCTGGAGTGCAGTGGCATGATTTTGGCTCACTGAAACCTCTGCCTCCTGGGTTGGAGCAATTCTCCTGCCTCAGCCTCCCGAGTAGCTGGGATTCCATGCCTGGCTGATTTTTGTATTTTCAGTAAGATGGGGTTTAGCCATGTTGGCCAGGCTGGTCTTTAACTCCTAACCTCAGGTCATCCACCCACCCCGGCCTCCCAGAGTGCTGGAATTACAGGCGTGAGCCACCACGTCCGGCCCTAAATTTTTTATACAAATTATTAAGTCATCAGAATTGGCTGACATATTTTAAATATTCAGTTTAGAAGGGGGTAAGTCTTATCACTATCAAATTAAATCAGCATTTTCTGGCCCTCAGTGATATAAAAAAAAGTTAAATTGTACTATTCAAAACTTACTGAAAAAAAACAGATTTTTAAAAGTTCTGATTTACTGTTCCATAAAATCAATTATAATTAATTCTCGGATTTGCATGTGATTTAAAATTGAGTAAACTTCAACAATTTTTCATACAGTGATTTGAAATATTTGACATAATATTAAATGCTTTTAAACCATGCACAATTATATTTTTCTTAGCAAGAGTTAATATGAATATGTTTAATATGTAGCTTATTTGAGTTTTGACATACTCTACTTGATAAGTGCAGAGTATAGCTATTAACTTGGCAAAGACTTTAAAAGAGTTTACTTAATAAATATAGATTCTATCTTTGCTTCATTTCAGTAATATTTTATTATCAAATGTTAGATATGAATTTATGAGTTTGCTTTTGAATTATAATTTAAAAATAAAAAATGGAAAATTTCAGTATATATTTCCAGTGAATGATTAAATAACAGCATATTATAATGAAAAGAAATTAAAAAATAGGAAAACTGAAAAACAAGAAAGGTATAGCAAACATTTGATCTTATGTTATACGATAATAATTAGGCCAGTGACTATTATCACTTAAATAAGATGTATACAGAAGTTGGATGAGAATAATATAGCAATGACAGATAAATTGTCTCAATCTCTTTAAGCAACCTCAACTCTACAAAGTAATTTTAGACTTATATTGTTTAATTTAATATATATTTCATTGAAGTATTAATTATTGATTTATTAGTTTCTTTTTAAAAATGCATCTTCTAGCATCACTGCTACTTTAAATAGATTTGAAACAGATTTCTAATCAAATTTACTCAGGTAACCTTTAATAGTTTAAACAGGTTAATTTTTAATGTCATTTATATTTAAAAGGTGCTGAAAATATTATAGCATTAAATATTTAATAACATTGTTACAAAATTTTAAGTAAGTCAAGCCCAAACCCTAGAATCATAGAGATCACTACTGCTGGCTCTCGAAACATCAAACAAGTCCATTGAGATTTTTACATTTTTTTCATAATTTAATAATGTGGTTTAAGTTGTTGCTAGCTTTGCAAAAATATAGTGTAATAGCACAGATGTGACTGTTAATTAAAAAGTCTCTTGTGGGAGCAAATGGGTTTCTGGGTGATGTTTTGAGCAAGATTATGTCATTTAGAAAAAATTCTGAGTACACAAAATCCTGAACTGTATGTTCCTAAGAGACTACTGCTTAAAAAAAAAAAAAATCCCAACCACCCTGCAGAGTGAAGAGAAGTAAAGGTAATTTGCAGATCAGCCAGTGTTTTTATATTTCCTGTAAATGAGCCATCTCGCTGCCAATGTAAAGATTTGTGTTTAGTTTTTGTACAACATATCATTCTTAAGGGCACTTTCTTCATTTTCCAGTTTTTGACAACGTAGTGTTGTAATATTTAAAATGTTTTGTTAATCATGTAGGTGCATTTGCACCTTCATATTAATTTTCAACTCAGTGATATTTAAAATGGCTGAAATTTGCCAAAATAAGATTTCATACATAATTGATTGCATTTTACATTAGTTTAAATGTAAAAAAATTAGTTAAGAAAAAGTTAACATGCTGTTCTAAATCATTACAAAATATGTAGATTTAAATATAATAAATTCAACTACTGTTTGGTATTAAGGTATTTTATGCATCATGTGTCATAAATTATTTTCCTAAGAGTATCAAATTTTCCAGATATGTTATTTAAATAATATTCACTATTATTTAAAGTAGATAGTGAATATTATTTAAATAACCTACATTAAAGAAAATATATCAATATAAGCACAAGAAAATAGATGATTGTTGATATTAAGTAATTTAATGTTATATGCTAGAGCATCATGGATGTTGTATTATAATTTCCCTGTTAAGATACACCTTTCCAGCACATAAAAGTTTCCTAAGGAATAAATCAAGCAATTTACCAAACCACTTGACTCTCATAAGTGTATATACTAATGGTGACTCCATTCTCTTAGACATATACAAACTCATTCACATACACATATGTGTGTATACCTGCACAACATAGACATAAGTATACAAAAACTCAAATATGTGGAGTGTGTATGCTTGCACATATGGGTGTGAGTATATTTAAGTACACTTTTGCCAGAATAAAGAAGAAATTTGAGGAGCAGTATAAATTTATAAACTTTCATTATCAACATTCACTTAATTAAGTACACTTCATTAATGAGATTTTTTTAATTCCTCTCTCCTAGAATTTCTTTCCCCAAATTTCAGTAAATATGCCATTAACACTAGCATTTAGTATTTTTCCGTTTCTTATTTTTTTCGTTTATGTCCTTAAGGTTTCCTATGTCCATGAAAGTACAAGCCATATTTTGAAATAAACAACCTTTCTCTCCCAAACAATGTTAGTTTCACTTTGCCTTAAATATTCTGAATTTTTATTAGTAAATATAATACTTAACATTCATTAAAATGTTTGAATAGAGACTTATGTGGCTTTCTTTAATTTTGGAAAATCTAAGCTTAATATCATCTATCCCCATCATATTACAGAAATCCTCTTAGGTACATATTTAAATAGGACCACTAAGAGAAGTCTAAAGAAAACCCATGTTAAGAAGCAGAGAGTTATGCTCTGCCTCCAGAATAAGGCATATCTACATAAGCTATTTGGAAGTCTTTTGCATGAGTGATTTGTATTTATCTCCCCTGTGTATTTATTCATCAGATATTGTACTTACATCAATATGGACTAATGGATATTTATTTTGTACTTTATGTTATCATCCAATACTACTACTTTTAAAAATGTTGTTGCACTGCTTAATGAATTTCTTCCAAAGAGTTCAGTATACAAACAGGTAAACTTAGTAACTGTATAGTGGAGAAATCCAACAAACAGTACTATTGCCAGGTAATCAAGGTCCACATCAACAGTGATAAGTCATGCTCATAACATGTGCCCTTGATACGTGATGAAAGTGATACTTTACCTCTGTGGCCTTCCTTCCATCTCCCATAACCCCAGTTTAATCATGAGAAAACATCAAATCCCAATAGGGAGATATTCTACAAAATACCTGACCAGTAATTCTCAAAGCTGGTAAAGTCATTAAAGGCAAGGATAGTCTGAGAAACTGTCACAGTCAACAGGTGTCTAGAGATGTGTAACTAAATGTAATCCATTAGGGGAACCTGCAATGGGAAAATTAAGAAAAATGAAAGAGCTCTAAATTGGTAATAATGTGTCAATATTGGTTCATTAATCATAGCAAACATATCCTATAACATATAAGGTGCTAACCGTAGAGAAAACTAGGTCTGGATTGTATGGGGCTAGTACTATCTGTAAATTCCTTTTATAATTCTACAACTGTTCTAACAAATAAAGTTTATTTTTTAAAAAGGCATACAGATATTAAGAAACAACTGTATACTACCTAATATTTATTTCCACCTCATTACTCAAACATGAAAACAGAAGAAGACTGAAATGAATATGTGCATTTGGGCAAGACACGCATACTGTGGTAAGTCAAGATTTGGGTTTGTTCTGCCTCCTGAATAAATTCATGTTGGGCTGAAAAACTCTGATGCAATTAGGAATCAGTCACAGTTTAATTCTCAAACTTTGTTTTGGAGCTAGGAAGTTAATGAAGTGGCTTCCAGAGTTGATAGAAAATAGCTAGACAATTGGAAGACCCAGTATTTTTTGACCTAAAGAATCTCCAAGCACATCAACCCAGATCGAGACTTCTTGAGGGATAAAAAGGAAGGCATTGAGAACACATTATTTTCATCCTTAGTCCAAACTAACTGAATTTTATCTTTTTCAAAGTCAAGTAAGATTGCTGGTGTCCTAAGTGTCTGAATGCTTTAATTCTGCTAAGCAGCAATCCTGTTGGGATATTAAGTTCATCTCTGTTCATATTTAATTATGAAATATTCATGAAGAATGAAGAAACTCTTGCTAGTCAGGAATTGATAAACCATGAACTTGATATCTCAAATTTGCGTAACATATAGTTCAGAATCTCAATTTTCTTTTTTCTTCTTTTTCTTTCTTCTTTCTTTCTTATTTTTTCCTTTAGCTCAATACATTTACTAGAAATAAAAGTGTAGAGAAAGTTTAGCTGCTCGGCTATAATGGATCAATATAAATATCTTTAAAATTTTCAATATACACTTAGATTTTATATTTATTTAAATTATTCTAATAATCTATTGTTTTAATAATTTAAAGTAATAAAATATTTCTTTTTGACACCCTGTGTGGCAAATACCTCAAGGTATAAGTGTAAAGAAATTTTTGAATATTTAATTATTTTTGTGGCCTCCAGCTCATTTTCTTTCATTTTTGTGTCTCTTGTTCATTGTTTATGTTTGTTTATAGTCACTGTGGATTCATCTGGATTCATCATATGTTATAAAGAGAGATATAATCAGTCATTGTAACTAGATGACTTTATTCACATATTCTTTTGAGAAACCAGTAAAATATAAAAAGACAAAAATGGAATATATTTTTGGAAGCATATTTTTTAGTTTAGAGTGCTTTAATAACTTTAGTTTCTACATATACATTGAAAGTAATCCTCCAGTAATACCAGCTATACGACTGTGAAAGGAAGGGTGAATGGCTTATCTATGCAATTTTGTTTAAAATGAATAAGATCTCAGGACTAACATATATGTACGACGCTTTGGCTATTTGTAAAATGACTGGTTATAAAATATAAGAGGAACCAGTTGTTGAAGATGGTGAGTTTATATCTATATGCAGTTTGAGAATAGTTGTGTATGAATCATCTCTTTGATAGTCAAAAGTAGACATATAACAGGAAATTTGTATAAAATATAGTGTTTAAGGTTTGGAGATAATATTTTCAATAGTTATGAATATTCAGGGGGTTTGAAATGATGAGAAAGAATAAGATTATCTGTGAAATAAATGTATAAAAAATATTAATAGCCCAAAGGAATGACTAATCATAAAGGATGCGTATTATTTTTCTACTGCTGTGTAATGAATTGCCACAGACTGAGTGACTTAAAACAATATTTGCTTATTAGCTCACAGTTCAATCTCTCAGAAGAAGAGCATGATGTGGCTGGATTTTCTGCTCAGGAAATTGAGTTCTTTGAAGTTGTAGGATGGGAGTCCCCATTTCTTCAGTGACCATTAACTGGTCCTCTTCTGTAAACCACCTACATTCTACCCTAAATAGTCCGATCCATCTTCAAGCCAGTGACAGTGCATTAAATGCTCTGCTTGCTTCAAATCTTTCCCTCTGTTAAAGCCAGAGAAAAAAGTCTGCTTTTGAAAGGGCTCTTGTGATTAGGTTCGACAGATATTCTCTTTACCGTAAGGTCAACGGTGCCACATTACATGACATAATTTTAAGAGCGATATCTCCTCATATTCACAGGTTTAGGGTGGTGGTACCAGAAAGGGATCCTGATCCAGACCTCAAGAGAGGGTTCTTGAATCTTGTGAAAAAAAAATTCTGGGTGGCCGGGCGCGGTGGCTCACGCCTGTAATCCCAGCACTTTGGGAGGCCGAGGCGGGCGGATCACGAGGTCAGGAGATCGAGACCATCCCGGCTAAAACGGTGAAACCCCGTCTCTACTAAAAATACAAAAAATTAGCCGGGCGTAGTGGCGGGCGCCTGTAGTTCCAGCTACTTGGGAGGCTGAGGCAGGAGAATGGCATGAACCCGGGAGGCGGAGCTTGCAGTGAGCCGAGATCGCACCGCTGCACTCCAGCCTGGGCGACAGACAGAGCGAGACTCCGCCTCAAAAAAAAAAAAAAAAAAAAAAAAAAAAAAAAAATTCTGGGTAAGCCCATAAAGGGAAAGCAAGTTTATTAGAGAAGTACTGAAACAAAAGAATGGCTACTCCATAGACAGAGAAGTGGTATGGGCTGCTTGATTGAGTTTACCTACAGGTATTTCTTGCTAAACGAAGAGTGGATTATTCTTGAATTTTACAGGAAAGGGGTGGAGATTCTGGAAGTTACCCTATATAGTCTAAAAGGGGCAACACCCTTTTAGACTATATAGGGTAACTTCTGAACATTGTCATGGCATTTGTAAACTGTCATAGCACTAGCAGGAGTGTCTTTTAGCATGCTAATGCATTATAATTAGCAATAATGGGCAGTGAGGACAATCAGAGGTCACTTTCATTGCCATCTTGGTTTCGGTGGACTTCTTTCCTGCATCCTGTTTTATTAGCAGGGTCTTTTTTACCTGTATCTTGTGCCAACCCCCTATCTCATCCTGGGAGTAAGAATACCTAACCTCTTGGGAATGCAGTCCAGCATTTCACAGCCTTATTTTACCCAGCCCCTATTCAAGATGGAGTCACTCTGGTTCAAATGCCTCTGACAATGGCACAGCTTTGGGAGGCCATCTTGGAATTCTGCTTATCATGGGGTGCAGGAGTCCTAAGATACTGAGACAAGGGAGATATAGAGGTGCAAGGAGGAAACGAGAACAAATACGTATGATAAAACAATTGGCGATCAATATAGGAACTTAATAAATGCTCATTTGTTTTGAACAAATAGCTTTAGAGAGAAGCTTCAGATAAATAATAGAGTTGAAAATGTAAAGACAGTAGACTGAAGTATGAATTGGGATAGCACAGCCGATTACTCTTTCAAGAAACTTAAAAGAGATGAGAAGGAAACCAGGCAGAAACTAAGAAGGTCAAGGATGAGAGGGACGCATATGTTTTTGTTTTGAGGAGATCCAGAGGAGAGGAAGAGCTAAAGAATGCCAGGAAAAAAAGCAAGTAAATTAGAAATTCCATCTACAAAGTTTTAAAAATTAACAAACCACATGTGCTGAGGGTTCACAAAAGCCAACATAGATTTTTTTTTCTTTTTTTTTTTTTTTACACAAAGCAAGTCCTTGCTTGTTTAACAATACAAAAGGAAGTAGCTCTGGCATTTTCTGAGTGTGTTAACATCTCTCTTGGTATGTGTCTTGCAGTTCCTCAAAGTATGTCTTAATTGCATTCTGAGTGTATTTTCCAAAACAAAATGATCTGAAAAGGTGATCAAATATTTGAAATTACAGCACTCCAAAAATAACTAGATACATGTTTGGCATACTTGATTAAGTGAGAAATTTCTTTGAGTTTAGTATTTAAACTGTCAAATTTAGAGGAATTAATAGTTTCGCTTTTAATATGTTGCATATTTTCTGACATCTTAGCAGCTGAATTTATACAAATCTCTAATTGTTAACTGTGTTTTTAACCAAATAACTACATGTTCCATTTATTTGTAATTGATTGGCAAAAGACTCAGAAAATCAGCTGAATACACGATAACAGACTATTTAATATAAAGTGTACACTTTAGCATTGGAATTGATTATTCATCTATAAAATACTTTAAGACAAAGAATCTATAAATAGTATATTTGGTATTGTGTCCTGAAAGAAGTACTAGATTTCTCCAAGAGTTGTTATTTCTATTACATACATACATTTTTAAATACCTTTGTGAATGACTATTGTATATAGCAGAAATAAAACCGAGTGTAGTGTAATATAATCAGTCACACCGAGGGCAGTAGTTTCAAATTAATGTTTTTCTCCCCCAAAATTATGGCTGTATCATAAAATTGTATAATTTTAAATACAGGTAATTTTTTTAAAAAGCAAGTTATTTAAAGTATTTTAAACAAATTGAGGAAAGTCTCATAATTTATTGTCAGTCTATTGAATAATTAGCAATTTCAGATAATTATACTTCTAGAAAAAATAGAAAGTAAAACCATAATAGGAAAATATTGGTAACTCCAAAAAAAAAAGTATCACTAGTCCCATGACGTAATTAGGAGTGAGACCTTTGGCAAGAATAACAATAAACAGCACTTAATCAAATATCTGTGTGTCTAGATGGCATCTTGTTTAACAGCTTTAACAAGGCACAGAGCATGTCCATGCCTTACGAGCACTCCCCTTCCCCCAGGTGGCCTACAAATTGGAGAATGGCTTATTTTATTTGACCATCTTGGTCACTACTCATGTCCTCATTGATGAAGTCTTTTGGCCTCCCTGCTTTGTTTGGTTTGAAAGATTCTTGCTGAGTTTGAGAGCTCAGGTACCCAGGATCCAGCCTCTGAAAGTACCACATAGAGATGTCATCTTGACCGTGTGCCCACTCCCTGGAAAGCAGACAATGATCAGGATATGGATTCTTTTTGGAAACCACACATGTCTATCCTTTCTCTTTTTATTTATAGGGGCTATTATTTTTTACTACCCTTATTTTTTACTACTAAACTTAGGAAACTTTCACTTATGCATGCAGCATTGATTACATATTTTTATCTGTTTCCTCCTCAACTCTCACTAATATAACAGTAAAAAAAATCAAAATAAAAAATAAAACTATATTTCAACAAGGGGAGAAAGAATGGAAAACTTACAGCTGCTGATAAGAAATGTCAACACATTTTGAGACAAGGAAAATGGTGAGTGATTGGCAACTGACAGAGCAGAGAGAAAAAGATAATCCTCAAGGTCATGGAGTCAGTAACAAGCTAGCTAATTTAACCCCCTGAAAACCAGAAGGCTTAGGGCTTTGGGAGCAACAGTTATTTCTGAAGGCTGAAATATGGGGGAATAATACTGGAAACAGTATGACTGAGGTAACCAGATTTCTTCACTAAGCCTTTGTTGCCAGGCAAATGTGTCCATCCCACTCCAGCCACATAGAGAAAGTTTACTCTCTAAATCAGCAAGCTCCAGACTCTAAGAACTAAATGCTGCAGAGGACAGATGAGGAACTAAGAATTAATGCAGATCTGCATAATGAATAGTAGCACCTGTGTCCTCTCTTTCTCAACATATTTTCCAGGATTCTTTTTGAGGAGTGGAGAGACCAATGGTAGGCTTACAGCTAATGACATTTCAGGATGTCCTCAATGGAATAACAGGCTCTCACACTAATGGCAAAACCCTTTACTCAATAAGTGAAACTCATCCACAAATTTTCTCCAATTATTCCTTTAGTGTTTCACTTTTAGTTATATGTAGTCAAATATGTGTCCAAAGCAACAGCAAAAAATGACCCACAAAAAAACGTTTTAAAAAATCAAGTAAATCAGGCAACATAAAAAAGAAAAAAAATTTTTGAAAAAAAAATGTGATCTTATACAAAATAGGTAATTAGAACATAAAAAGAATCCTATTATTTTATTTTGACATATGAGCTATGAAGAAATTGATATGTTGGCACAGCTGCTAACAGGAAGGAATCTTCCACTTCCCTTTCTCCTCTTCCTGCTGATTGGCATGCTGGATCCGCCATCACAAATAATAAAATGGAAGCCACGTGTTGAAAATGGCAGAGAAATTAGACAGGTTAAACTGGATCCCTAATACTGTGGAGTTACCATGTCAGCTCCCAACTGCCAATATAAAATCACCTAGCTTTCTAAGAGAGAAATATTCCTATGTGACTTAAGCTACTGTTATTCAGAGTCCTTCTACAGCAACCAAATCTGATGTTACACAGTTGGTGTCTTCTTTATAAGCACACAGAGACTACAAAGGAAAAAACTGGGAAAATGACGCAAATGGATATTGAGAGCAAGTAGTAGTAAATTCACAAGGCTAATAGCAAAATATGTGCAGCTAAGGAATAAATTGGGCTAAAAAAGGACATACATTGTAGCTTAGAATGTCATATCTAACCAAAATATCGATTAATTTTGAGACTATAAACAAGACCATTTAAGCAAGTTCTAAAAATGTGTACGTTTTTTCGTTGTTCCTCATGAAGCCACTGGAGAGTATATTTAATAAAAACGATAAAGTTTAACCATGAAAGGAAAAAATATTAATACTGGAATTGGGAAGCAAGTACTTAACACAGGAAAAAGCAACAAGACTTCCCAGGAATACAATCAAAAGAAGTTCCATGACAATATCTGTGTAGCAGGTCTAGAACAGAGTACATTGAAATTGGAAGGTTAAGACAGAGTGTTTCAGAAAGAAAGAACACAAGTGGAATTGATAGTTCACCTGATAAAAGTATTTAAACATGTTGAGAAGAGTTTCATAGTTCTCTCAGAAAGTCTGGGTTAATCAATCAGTGATAGGCAGAAAGAAAAGACACACAGATGAAATAATCATTGATGCCAAGAAAAGCAAGATGCTGTCAAAATCAGTAAACATAATCATCATAGGTCATAGGGGTCTGTTCTCAATGCTATTTATAGTCATAAAAATGTAACCGCTGATTATTGAGCCGGAAATTGAGATCTGAGAGTACTGAGATAAGTGTCTCACAAGGAAACTGACAAAGAGGGCATTGAATAGAACGGTTACGTTCTTATCTTTCTTAGTAGGCAGCTAATTGTTTTCTAAAATGAAAAGGTCTCTAAATGGTAATATGCATTATACCAGTATTTAGAAATATGGAGAAATATGCCAGAAGAAACAGTGGAATGGGTGATATGAATTTGTCTTTGGGGAGTAGAAATCAGAGGTGTGGAGGAGATGAGACAAAAATTGCTATTCTTAATTGTACATCTTGTAGCACTACTATTTTTATAAACAAAGCTTATGTATTTAAGAAAAGTAAAATTGAAAAAGACTTGTCTTCTTACAGTTCTTTATTTCAGTCCTATTAATGTTCCCAAGGCAAAGAAATGCAGACTCTCATCTTGCTTGGAAGTGAAAGAGTATTTCTGTCAAGACATTTTTAGTTTTATCAGTTATAATGTTGTCCCAGCACCTCAGTTTGTATCAATGTCAGTTGGATAGAACAAAGAAAGAAGCTCTATTTTCTGCTTTCCTGAGCACTGACCACCTCATCACTAGCTATACATCAGTATTTCAGTAAGCAGAGCGTATTGAAGTGAGGCAGGATCTTACATTTCCTAACCCAATATATTCATTAGACTTAATCTATTGTTAATTGCTTAACTGACATCCAAATAATAGATACCCTTTTTTTTGTTTTTGTTTTTTTTTTTGAGATGGAGTCTCGCTCCGCGCCCGGGCTGGATTGCAGTGCTGCGATCTCGGCTAGCTGGGACTACAGGTGCCCGCCACCACGCCTGGCTAATTTTTTTTTTGTATTTTTAGTAGAGACGGGTTTCACCATGTTAGCCAGGATGGTCTTGATCTCCTGCCCTCGTGATCCACCCGTCTCAGCCTCCCAAACTGCTGGGATTACAGGCATGAGCCATCACGCCCAGCCAATAGACACACATTTAGTACTAATTATCTTAAAGGTATCAGACTACCTTTGATGGAAATGACAAGAATATGTATTTATATTTTTCTGTTGTCAAATAATTTAATAGCATTGAATCATAATCAATAGCTCTATGGGGTTAAGCAAAGCATGCACAAAAGTTTCTATAACTTTTAATTAACATTTTTATTGTGCAATGTGATTAAGAAACAAAATTTTCACTTTTCAAGCCTTTCATTGCTAGTTTCTTTCTTCCCTTTTGTCTTTCCTTCCTTTCTTTTTCTCTTCTCTTTTTAAACCTCTTCTTTTTGGCCTTTCCAGAAATACTCCATAATAACTATATTGCTTTCAAACAATAGCCAGAGCAAACCTCATCAATTTAAGAATGGAGAGTGCATCACATAATGAGTTTATGTCTGTATCTCTCTTACCAAATGGATATAAAGTGACATCTCAGGGGTCTGTTAATGAGATTGTCTCATGTAAGGGAATCTGGTAATGGGATGCTACCAAATCTGATTATTTAGAGATAATGTTAACAAAATTAAATTAATTAATGTTCAATTTGCCCTTCACAAGCAAAAAAATTTAAAAGAGTTAATCAGAAAGATCATGGGATACTGGTGATTAAATATATTTTAAGATCAAAGTCTAGAATTTGCAAATTGGGAAGTTGACAGAAGAAAAGTAGCTGTGCATTTGAAAAAGGCATTTGAAAGAAAACTGTTTTCAAGCCTAACAAGAACTGATTCCCCTTGATCATCTGAGGCTACATTAGGCGGGTCATTCTTACTTCCAGAATTACACATACAATTCTATTTTCTGAAGTGCTCTTCTATTTATAAATTGTTTCTCCTTCAAAACTACTAAAAAGTCACACATTATATGTAGCATTCTTAACATGAGTTTCAGTTCCCACAATTGAATTGAAGCCATCAATTCCCATATATAACTATACACTTACAGATGTAATTGCATTTGTTTACCACAATAGCTGTGCTATTGGTAATGAAAATGCACACTCACAAGGATCAAGTAACCTTTCTGGGAGAAATATTTTGGGTAGAAATACCTTAGATAATTAGTCACACTGTACAGAAATGAGTTGAGGTATAAAGTTAAGAAAATACATTACTGTGGGTCTTTACTAAAGAACTGATTGTTGTACATACATCAAAACGAAAATGTCTTAAAAATAATGATCTTAATTGCTTCCAATGTAACACTTCTTATATGTAATATAATATGTATTATTATATTGCATATGTAATATAATATGTATTATATTGCATATGTAATATAATACGTATTATTATATTGCATATGTAATATAATACGTATTATTATATTGCCAGTGTGCATAATACACAGATTGAAGAAAGGTCACAGAAACTCATTTCTGAGAAGCAGGCAGTCATCCACTCATGGGTAGTGTGACGGTTAATACTGACTGTCATCTTGATTGGGTTGAAGGATACAAAGTATTGTTCCTAGGCGTGTCTGTGAGGGTGTTGCCAAACGAGATTAACATTTGAGTCAGTGGACTGGGAAAGGCTGACCCACCCTCAATCTGGGTGGGCACCATCTAATCAGCTGGCAGTGTGGCCAGAATCAAAAGCAGGCAGAAGAACGTGAAAAGACTAGACTGGCTTGGCCTCCCCGTCTGTATCCTTCTCCCACGCTGGATGCCCTTGAACATCGGATTCCAAGTTCTTCAGCTTTGGGACTTGGACTGGCTTCCTTGCTCCTCAGCTTGCAGACAGCTTATTGTGGGACCTTGCGATCATGTGAGTTAATACTTACTAAACCCTGTTAGTTCTATCCCTCTAGAGAACCCTGACTAATACAGATGGACTGGTGGGCCTTGTAAATCATTTTATTTTAATCATGTTCAGTGAAAAGTTTTCAGAAGAGAGCGATTTAATTTAGCTTCATTTTTTTAACAAAGATACCTTGTTGAAAACAAAATGGATTCTACTGAATAAAATGTAAGCAGAAGCACAGTAATGAACTATCTTATCCAGTTAAGAGATTAAGAAGAATAGTATGAATGGAGAATCTTAAAAACACTTAGTTAAATTTCAACCTATGTCATTGCAGTTTGTAATATTCAGCTATTCATTCAACAAGTAATCATTAAAGACCTTCTATATGCCCACTGCTATGTTAAAATTAGGATATATAATGATGAATAAGACATGGTCACTAACTTTATTAAAGGCTGAAAATAACATGAATACATAATTTGAAACTGGAATAGTGCTACAACTTTATTGAATAGAGTTTTTGAAAGGGAAAACAGAATTTATTTAAATTTAATTATGCCCATCTAAGAGAATATTTAACCTAAGTGGTGATTACCATAGCAAAGAATAGGGGTAATTCTGTATAGGGGCATGAATAAAGGGTGTAAAGTGGGGATGGGTTTGACTGAATGCATGACATGTGTTAGAAAAAATTGCTTTTATCAAGGGTAAAGTGTAAAGACATAAAATTACAAAAAGTAACAATAAATAACAATTTCAATGTATGCACAATACCTTGACAATTTTTATTTAACTTAATGTACAAAATATTACCCACAGACTATGCCTATAGAATATGCTTCTGGCTAGGACCGTTTCAGAATTCATGGAGAAAACATTTTAAAAATACATCATTAGCAAACGCATCTTTCCTTTTTCTCCTCAGAATGATCATTATAGCCCAGCTCAAATAAATTTTGACATTTTTCAAAATTCATTATATTTCACATTAGTGTAATATGGCATTAAATATGTTATTACAAATGTTAGGTGAATCCGTTGCAAAGAGGGTAGCTCACAGTCCACTCTCCAATGACATTCTACCTGGGCATAGTCAGAAATTGGCTAAAGGTATAAAAGACCAACTCACTGAACAAATAAAGTCAGCAAAGTCTTTTTTATTGCAACTTGAAAAATGCAGATATTGTTAACATCTTTTTTATATAGTTACTATTTGAACATAATGGTGATATGAAATATTAAATCTTTCTGTTTTTCATAGCCATTGCCAACAAACACACTAGTTGTGAGCAATATAAAACTATGAGGGATAAGCTCTGAGGTGGACTTATTTTTCGTAGAATATATTTTAATGGCAAAAGTGCACCAAATTAAGGTTATCACACCGAAATATACATCAACAATTATTTTATATGTTGAGAGCGAGTTGGTATGAAAAAGAAGTCACACAAACTAAGCAGTGTATTTAGTGATTAGCATTTAGTGATATGTATTGTAATCATGGTATATAAAGACACATGTATTAAAATCAAATTACACTTTATTAAGTAATAATATAAAAATAAAAGAATTATCTTAAAACAATTGTAAACAAATGGAATTTCATGCCAAAATATTATGTTTTCAAGTGCAAAACTTCAGTTGGGAAAATTTGAACTATAGAAGAAACTCTCAGTGTTTCTGTAAGACAATGGTTCAGTTTGGTCCCAACTTTTTAAAGATATGAGTTGGACAAACTTGCTTATATGTCTCATATATTTGGTATTTTAATGATTTTAATTTCTGCACACAAGGAAGAAACACAACATTGTAACTGGCTGTTTTAAATAACAGATAAGATCAAAGGGCACAAAGGAAAGTCAGAAGTTTGGAAAAAAAGTGTTTCTAAGAATTGTTATGACATGTTTCATAGTTAACAACAACTATCAGTGAAGTAGGTCATGATCTCACTATTGTACACCGTTGAAAGTTATCACCAATCTCCTTATGAATTTAATACAATGTTTTGTATTTTATTTTTTCTCAAAGTAGATACAACCATAGGAGATTCATGGATTTGAATCTGTTTTTTTATTTGTTTGTTTCATTTTTTATCAAAAAGCTTATTGAAATTTAACAGCTTTAAACTGTACAATTTTAGGCAAATTAATTTCAAAAATAGAACATAACTTCCTTATTTAGATAAAAATTGTAAATGTATATGCTGAACTTGCTTTATAATCCTCTCCCCCATTCTTGTCAAAATGCATCTCTGAGACTGACTAATTTACCATAAGTATTTTTTAAACAAATAATAGAAGGGTTTAAATACACATTATGTCCTGTGGGTGATGAGGTTATAATCTACTTTAGATGTGATAAATTAATAGGGAAATAGCTTGGACATTCGTCACATTAAACATTTTAAAAATTCATGTATCTGATTAAAATAGACCTGAAGATTTTTGATACAGGGAATTGCTACTTCATTCATAAATTTCTGTTTAATTATAATGTATGATGACACAAAGTTACAAGTACAAGAGTGGTTGTCTTATCTGCAAAATGGTCACTTTCAATGATCAACAAGTACATGTTTTTGTATTTTTTGATGCTATAATTGTCTTGCATATTTTATTGAAATAAACATTTCCTTGTTAAATTTAATACTTAAAAATTGTGATTTATTTTTGTATGTCTTAAAATTTCATTTTTATAGAGTTTCAATTTTTGTTGGGTTTTTCAAAAGTATTGGTCTATGACAATTTGTAGGAGAAATGGTCCTATACCACATATGGTATTAGAAGCATTAGTATAATTTACATTCCTACAACTCGTTCTTCTTGTGGCCTATCATTCTCCACACACTTCTTTTTAAAGCTCTTATTAATTAATTTCTTCTTTTTCTCAGATATAAAGCGTTTTAGTTGCAAGAAATTATCTACAACAGTTTCTGCATTATTTTATATGCCTCAGACATAGTAGTTTAAAAATCAATGAGTAAATAATTATGGTAATTCAACACACTTATACAGTTTTAATTCTTTACAGGTACAATATTCCTATATTTAACTAGGCAATAATAAAATTTTCTAATACTTGACATCATGAAACTGAATTGACAGGAACGTCACTGGAACATAATCGTTCAAATGCCTATGCAAAGTTATTCTACAAAATGCCAATGGTTTCTATCTGGCTATGATCTGGCTATTCCAATGTTGGGTGACTGTTATATTCTTCTTAAAGCTCTGCTATATTACATTATTTCATTCTATAAGGTATAGACAACATTTTAGAAATATTACTGAAGTTCAAATACAGCTTCCAAGTATTATGATAGCTGTGTCCACTTACACTTGATACCTTTTGGTTTGTTTGTTTTTTGAGATGGAGTTTCGCTCTTGTTGGCCAGGCTGGAGTGCAATGGCACGACCTCAGTTCACTGAAACCTCCGCCTCCCTGGTTGAAGCGATTCTCCTGCCTCAGCCTCCCGAGTAGCTGGGATTAGAGGCATGCACCACCACACCCAGCTAATTTTTGTATTTTTAGTAGTGATGGGATTTCTCCATTTTGGTCAGTCTGGTCTCGAACTCTTGTCCTTGGGTGATCCACCCACCTTGGCCTCCCAAAGTGCTGGGATTACAGGTGTAGCCACCGCGCCCGGCCACTTGATACCTTTTTATGTTGCACGTGTTTCATTTCATTCAATATTATTTAAGACTGTAGGAAATTACACATATAGGTTCGCCAAATGGCTTGTGCTTGTACCCCAATTAAATCAAAGACAAAATTATACTTTTGATGCAATGCTCATTTAATGAATGTTTACTGAGCACCTATGTTAGGAATGTTATAGGCATTATGTGTATAGGAAAATGAATAAAACAGACAGAAATCTCTGCCCATATAAGGCTTATTTTCTAGGTGGGAGAATGAGCCCAACATTCATACTAACTCCTTTCAGGATGATCAGAAAGAAGATAATATGTGCAGGTGGAAGTAACATATTTATATAATCACAGTGCTATATAATTTCATTACCTTTCCATTATTAACTTTCTCAGCCTCTTTTATTATACAAATATAGTAAACATCCTCTGAAGGATGTATTTCCTCTCATTACAATGGTTACTATGCTTTTTAGTCAAAATTATCTACAGTTGATTTCTCAAAATAGCAAACATTATATTGAGCTTACTTAGCATTCCATCTATTATACTATGGAGAGTTTAACAGAGAATATATATACACACACACACACATATTTGTACACATATATATATATCCATGTATACACACACATACACACATTGTCCACATAAGACAGAAGACTACCTTTCAGCTATTTGTGAAATAGGTTTATTAGAAACTTAGTAAAGTATTCTGTGGTGTAATATAGTCCAACTAGTTTAAATTATTCATTTCATATCCTAGTGCTTTTTTCCCACATGTGCTACTTTATTGTTTTAAACTAGTTGATTTATAAAAATGTCATCTGAATAGTGCAAATTAATGATTCCAGCAAAACACATTTGCGATACCTTAGGTATGTGACAGGCAATTAAAAAAAGTTGTATTGATTTGTCTAAAATGTTAAATGACATAATAGCCATACAGTAAAGTATTGAATAATTTAAGTAAATCAATGTTTTCTGTTTTCTGAATTTTCTAGGTGTACAAACTATCTTGGGTGCTAAGGTAAATCAATATAATAAAATAAAAATGAAGCGGTTTATAATGATGAATGTATGGGTTGATAATAACCAGAGGTAGAATCTCATTTAGCCATTGTAACAAACAACTTCCAGGCATTTTTGTGCACTATTCCCATCAGAAAACATGGTATTATAGAGTCAATTGATTTTAGCACTTAAACAGCTTTTCATTTGCAAGACACCTAGCCTCAGTATAAACTAAACCTTTCCCAGAGTGTCATTAGTTATGGCTTGATTTAGAATGATAATACATATTTACTACCATTAGAGCCATTTTGTGTGTTTTATGTGGTTTGTAAATAATGCTATATTTTATGAGGAAATGAGAGGTGTTCATTTGTTATGCTCGTATATAGTTGCAAGATTTAGAATTTAGCATTTTGTGCTTCTTCTGATCTCTTTTTACTCGCATTTCCAATAGCAAAATTCTTAAGTAAATAATCCACTTGGAAATTGTATTTTTCATTCAATATAGCTATGTCTTTATGCATTTTTTGGTTTCATCATTTTGTTTAGAAAATAAAAGTATGGTAAAAATGAGCATGCAGGGACAACTTTTTCCTATATAATGTCTTTTGTGGTTTACAACAATTTCAAGATCTAATAAAATCTATGGATCTTTCCCACAGGAAAAAAAAATACAGATGTAGACATGAACACAATGTTGTATATAATTTAAGAGAATTCAGATGTACCCTGGATTCTCTTCACATTCATACACAAAGAATAAAAATTAAAACAATGGAAACAGCCACAATTAGCAGCTCTGAAAACTTCAAATGCTTCAGTGTTATAACTACACTTAAAATGATGAAAGTAGATAGATTAATACACAAAAATACGTAACTCATAATACTTTTGCATTTTCTACAAATTCAGAAGAAGATCCCATAATAAAAGAGGCCAAAGACACTAGAACATTATAAAGAAAAGAGCGGTGGAGAAAAAAGGAGTCACTCCTGGAGAAGAGACCTAAAGTAGTCAAAGGACTAACACCCAGATTTCAGAAAAGGAAAAATATAAAATATTATTGAGTGTTGGTAGTAAATCTTGGTGCCTCAGGCATGGACCCCGTAGGATTGACCCATGGTGGCTCAGCCATGGATCCAGGATTGGATCCCAGATCGCTACTTAATATTGTAACCTTGGTAAAATTACATCATCTCTCTTTGAGAGTATCCTCATCTGTACATTGGGGACAATAATAGGATTTATTTTATATGTCTGATGTGGACATGAAATGGTTCCATCTATATAAAGAGCTTAGCAGAATGCCTTGCACACACTAAGCAGGAAGATGGGTACAAAACTTCCTACCTGCTCTCATTTTTGTAGCAGCCTGCTTTACTGTGAGAGTTGCTCTGAACTAAAATGTGGCAAATCTTGGGACTGAGGAGGAGACATGAGATGTTTGTTTGGAGGAACAGCCAGGCTAATTAGGCTCCCTGCTCTTCACTTACTCATACCAAACAGTAGACAACACTATCTTCTTGAGAAAGGGGCAGAAGGGGTAGGCCTTTTGGACAGAAAGCAGGGAAGAATCCTGCATAGAGACATTGGGATACCCAAAAAGTTTCCATTTCTGAAGCATAAGCATGCCTGTCCTCTCCCGCATCATCACCGCAGGCAGAGCATGGTAAGCATATATTGTACTTGTAAAACAGGCCATGGACAATCTTAGATTCAAAACATGAGGATCAAACAAGAATCAATTAAATTTTCAGAAAAGATAACCTCATAAATGTGAGAGATCAACTCAACAAACAGAAAATAAAAAATAACAAAATGTACACCAACATATAAAGCAACAGATAAAAGAATCAACACAAATATAAATTATAACTTCAGAGTAATATGGGAGGCAGCATTTCCATGAAGTAGCATACAAAGATTTTCAAAATTAAAATTTTTGTTGTGAAGAAAATAGAAAGCTAATAATGAGCTGAAGAGCAGAATGAGAACAGGAGGAGAGAGAAACCTGAGGAACAGGTAAATGAAATAAGACAGCTCTCTCAGGGGAAAGGGCCAATATTTACAGAAAGAGAAACTGTGAAAAAATATATAATGGGTATAAAAGAAGATGTATAACTTTGGCAGGGAGAAGTGGCTCACGCCTGTAATCCCAGCACTTTGGGAGGCCGAGGCAGGCAGATCACGAGGTCAGGAGTTCAAGACCAGCCTGACCAATATGGTGAAACCACACCTCTACTAAAAATACAAAAAGTTAGCCAGGTGTGGGGGCACAGACCTGTAATCCCAGCTAGTGGGGAGGCTGAGGCAGGAGAATCTCTTGAACCTGGGAGGTGGAGGTTGCAGTGAGCTGAAATCATGCCACTGCACTCTAGCCTGGGTGACACAGCAAGATTCCATCCGCCCCCCCCCCAAAAAAAAAAAAAAAAAAAAAGAGGTATAACTTCTAGATGGTATGAAATAGAAGGCAGGGGTGAGAACATTAAAAAGTAGGAAAGTATTACATTTGTAAAACAGAGGGAGAAAGTTAACATGTTGTCTAAACAGAACTAGTAGTATAATTATAGTGTTTTAAAATAAAGCATGTAAACAAAAGAATAAAGCAGAAATTAATGTAATTTAAATCTACTCTGACTTTATCCCTCAACTCCAGACTCATGAAATCAACTTCCCATTTAGCATCTCCATTACTTGTCTAAAACATATCTCAATTACCGTACGTTGAAACAGAACTCTTGACTTTCTCCCCAAATGGACAAGACTTCTCCATTGGCCTTCTCATCTCAGTAAGTGGAAATTACCAGTTGGCAAGAACAGAGGATTTTAAGTTATCTCTGACTCTTATTCTGTTCTTCAAATGTATAAACATTCCAACAACAAATCTATTTTGCTCTCATTTCAAAATATATGCAAAATCCTCTGAATTCTCAACACCTCCACCACTTGTAACTTTTTCTAAGCTTCCAGTTTTGCTTTCCTGCATATTTATTTGACTAATCTTTCTACACAAAATCCAATTTAGCCTTTCACAACCTAAATTAGATAAAATCACTCCTCTGCTCAAAACTCTGCAAAGACTCTTCATCTTATTCTAAATGGAATCCAACTCTTTCCAGGGTCTCCTAGTTTCTCTATGATTTAGCCTTTGGCTACCTTTCAGACCTAATCTCAGTTATCTCCATTCTACCTGGACTTTTTGTTGTTTCTTAAGGATATCAAAGGCTTTTTGCATTTGTTTTAGAGTCTTTGCATTTGCTTTTCTCTCTGTTCAAAATTCACTTTGCTGAGGTCTTGGTTTCTTCTCACGGGAGTTGTTAGTGATCCCCAGACATCCATCACCCCTCTATTCCAACATCCACACCCTTGCCACCATTGTGTCACAAATATGCTGGAATAGATTTCATCACACCCTCTCATGCTGTGTAAATGGTCATCACAAAACACCTCTTGTTCTACCAGCTATCTCCCATACTCTACTCAACAAAATAATCCAAATCTTTCTTATCCTCATCACTTTGTCATCCTTCCTAAAATCTTTCTATCATGCCTTTTGAAAATCCACTTTATGGTCTATATTTTCTATGAACAGTCCATTAATCTGCTTATTCCAATGAACCTTGCCTCCGCTGGAGAGGTCAATGTTTTTGCCAACTCTCCCTGACAAAAGATTTGTAAACACCAGGTTTGGATGCAGGACACCTGTCTCTCCTGCTCTTTATATATCCTTGAGACCATTTTCTCTCCCATGTCCCTAAAACTGCCCAACTTTAAAATGTTTATCATCACTTCATATTACCATTTATGAAGCTTTATTGCTGTCACTTCTCAATACCTGGACCATTTACCCTTATTTCCGGATGACTTCAGTTTCTAGTTCACTGACATTTTCTTTACAAGAAACCCTGTCTTAATTCTTCATGATTCTAGTATACACATAGATCATCCAGCACACTAACTTCTCAAATCCTTGAGTCCTCTCCTTTGATGCTCTTATTCTTTTCTCCACCTAGGAAATTTACTGGTTTTGTCATTACAAACAACTGCAAAATTTTTGTAATTTCAGTTTCATTCATCCCATTTTCTGACCACTACTTAACTAGGATTTGAAGGCTCTAACAGTTCTTCTACCCCAAAGGGGCTTCAAGTCTTACTACATTTTCACTGCCTGTAGCTCATTTGATGTTCTCTTTTTCTGAACCAGCTTAAATACCATGATCAATGAAAATAATTCTCTTTTATACAATTCCTTGACTCCTCTGTATTTTTCTCACTGTTTAAACTCACATGGCAAAAACATCATTTTTGGTTAAATCCAACTTCCTACCTCTGTTTCTGCAGCCACGCATCAGATTGACCTCACTTAATGATACAAAAGAAGAGTGACCTAGTGGGCTGTCTGACAATCACACTTCCCTACATCATTAATCTCTCACTCTCCTTGATGACTGATCTATTTCTCTCCTCAAACCTCCAGCTCTCTCCTCTCCCTAATTACAGCGGATACCTTTGATTTATCTTTGCTAATGTATTGGAAACATTGGGAATGATGTTCTGCAGATTCCCACTATCACGTGTACCCAACCATCAACATCTGCACACCACACCCTGCCTTTCCCACTGATAACTTCATTGACTGACAGTTATTATGCCAAGCCAATCCCTCCACTTACTTTCTAGACTCCATCCTCTTTCTATTTAAGTATATTGTTTAGCAATTTTCCACTCTCTCTTGCTGATTTTACAATTTCTGCTGCTGTCTCCCCAGCAGCAAACAAATATATGACTTCTCTTTACATCCTAAGCAACAAAATGAAATAAACAAAAACAACAAAAACCTGCTTGCTTCTATATCTCCAAACAGCTACCATCCAGGTTATTTTCTCTCTTTTGCAAAATACCTCCTCTCGTCATTTTTCTTAAATCCATTCAAATTTGACTATGATCCCTACAAATCTACTAAATATTGTATTCAGATACAAAGTTAACCAATAATAATATTTCACAACATCTCCTTTTCAAAACAAATTTCTTAACAGCTTATTATGAAATAAGTCAGTTGAAAGTCTGAAGGAGTAATAGATGCAAGGAAGAAGTGTTGTCATTGGAATAATCTACTTCATTCAAGATCTAACAGTATCTAATTTTAGAAGAGGAAATATATTATTATTAAATATTTGAAAGATAGCAACAAATTAAAATGAAAAATAAGTCATTTTATTGATAACAAAGCTATTTTTATGTTTATTATATATGAAAAGCAACTTAAATTTATGTTATTAAAGTTTCTGCTTCTCTAAATAGTTTGGTAGCTGGATATATACCTGGTAAATATTCTCATTCATGAAACTCTGATCATTAATTACATTGGTTAATGTTTTTGAGGCTTTAAATAAGTGTGAATTGAGAACATATTGCCAAAGTTGATTTCTCCCTCACAATCCCATCAAAATTACATTAAATATGCACCAAAAATACAACATTTCTAATAACATTGGTTATAGAAATACAGATACATTGACAGAGACCAGGAAGACAGAAAATATCTTTGGCAACTAATTAAATGGTTGCCAAATAAACCATCCTCCTCCAACCATTACACATTTTCCATTTAGAATGATTGTTATAGTTGCATAAAGGGATTAAATCTTTAAGTTGAAAAGCACACAGTTCCCTGACCTAGACACATAGAACTATGTTTTCAATATTTCAGTGAAAAATAGATAAATCCAAAGGTTTATGTTATGAAAAAATAGGCTATCCACAATGAAATAAGAATTAAAAAACCATCACACTTGTCACAAAAAAACACAGATTTCTAAACTTAATGTTGACTGATAAATATTTTTAAAAACTGCTTCAATTATTATCCTTTCCTGTGGTCCAAGAGAGATTTTGAAGGAAAAAATACAAAAACTAGTACATAGAATATAAGACTGTTTATGTTTAATCTGTACATCTAGCTGGGCTCTATGTATGGGTTATTTGCAGAAGAAATTGCCAAAAAGCAAGCAGATTGGAAACCCATTTCATGTTTCACTGAAAATATATTGTTAGACTTCATGTTAGTCTACAGAAGCCTGAGACTGTTCTACTCCAATGTGCACTAACAAACATTTAGCTGCAAATGATCTGTAAATTTCAAAATGATTACAGAGGATAAAAGAAAGAAAGGACCACTTAGAGCGCAAAACCAACATCATCCGACAGCAGACAAAGAATTCCTCCCAGAGAGCAAAACGGGGCTGAAAAATAGGTTTACCAGAAAATTTACCTCCTTGCCTTAACCAAAAGTCTTAATAATTCTGACCTAGCAAAATATGATAATAGCTATAAGCCAGCGTACTTCATTCATTTTGATGGTGGCAGTGTTTGTCTTTTTTTCTTCTTCATATGGTATGTTATATTGTAATTACCTATTTCAACCAAACTGTTTTATTTTGGTGTTTACTGAGTGTTGGGGTGAGCAGAGTGTGCAAATAACCTGCCTTTGTTCTTATTTTTTTTTTTTAAGTTTAGTTAATATGTAGCCAGATCCCAAGGAAGACAACACAGCAGCCAGAAATCCAGAGGTGAATGACATAATGGGATAGAATTTCATGGCTGCTAGCCGGGCTCAGTGGCTCATGCCTGTTATCATAGCACGTTGGGCAGCCGAGGCAAGTGGGTCACCTGAGGGCAGGAGTTTGAGACCAGCTTGACCAACATGGTGAAACCCCATCTCTACTAAAGAGAGAAAAAAAAAAACAGCCAGGCGTGATGATGCATGCCTGTAATCCCAGCCACCTGGGAGGCTGAGGCAGGAGAATCATCACTTGAACCCGGGAGGCGGAGGTTGCAGTGAGCCGAGATCACGCCATTGCACTCCAGCCTGGGCAACAAGAGTGAAACTCCATCTCAATAAATAAATAAGTAAAATAACTTCATGGCTGCTATATGAAAATACAAAGACAAGCAGGCATATTTTTGGCTTTTCAAGAGAGTGAATTGTGGCAGTAGGAGGTAAATGTCCTCTACTATCTCTTCTTACAATGAACAATGGTCATGCTGTTAAAGATAAGATCCCACAACCTCTCTTACAGCTATGTGTGGCTCTCTGACTAGATTAGGTTCTAACCAATGCAATGTAAACTTGAGAGCTATCTGGGTTATTTCCTTCACAGAAAGAGAACCCTTCCTTATACCACTGCCTTTCCTATTTCTTCCTCCCTTTTGCCAAAATAGTGATATGATGGAGAAAATTGGAGTTGACATATTGGACCATGAGAATAAAACCATGTGTTGAAGATGACAGAAATATGACACAGAAGCCCAACAATTATGGAACTGATTTGCAGCAAGGACCACCTTGAACTTATTTGAGGAATAAACTATCTTTTTATTAATGTCTCTATTATTTGTAGTCATCCTCACTCAGCCAACTCCATTATCTATTCTAGGCAACTGAAAACAAGATTCCAAAAAGAAGGAGGTTCTATGAAGAATGTTGTATTAGCAAGGTTAATTTAATTAAATTTAAAGATTTGGAAGTTGGAAGATAAAGATATCTCTTTGGTCAACAAAAATGTAGTTTTCAATCAGTAAAATTCATGTTGTGGGAAATTGAAATACTTTTATGTGACATATCTATGTACAAAAACATTAACTAGAGACTCCAGAAAATCCACAATACTTTAAAAGTAGTTATGGTGTGATCATAAAGCAATCTAATAGGTGGTATAGTTTTGAGCAACTGATAGAGAGTAAAAAAGAATGCATTTAACCTGATAGTCTTAAACATTCTTCAAGCTCTTTAAAAGCAAAGGTTTTCATTCCTTACTTAAGAGTCCATCATGGTACTTAAATATGTCAGTAATAGTATTTACACAGCCATAATACTGATTTGTAAATATACTTGAGTGGCATCATAACACATAATAATTTAAAAATGCAGTCCCTGATGACAGATTTCCTTCATTTATTATGTGTTAACCGTTCAGAGTTTTCTAAAATCTTTCTATATATTAGTGTTTCCATGTACAAAACTGGGTTTTAAAAATAGAACCTCTTTCAACATTAACAGATCAAAGAAAATATTAATACCGTATGATCATCTCAATAGATACAGAAAAATAATGAGAAAATTCAATATGCTTTCATGATAAAAATTGTCAACAAATTAGGTGTAGAAAACGTGTACAATAAAGGCCACATATGAAAAAACCCACAGCTTTAATCATACTTAATAGTAAAATACTTAAAGCTTTTCCTCTGAGATCAGGAATAAGAAAAAGATGGTCATTCTCACTACTTTATTAAACATAGTCCTACAATTGCTAACCAGAGAATTTGGTCAGGAGAAAGAAGAAGATGGTATTCAAGTTGGAAATGAAAAAGCTAAATTGTCCATATTTGCAAATGATATGATTTTATCTATAGAAAACCTTAAAGACTCTACCAACAATCTTCTGGAATGAATAAATTCAGTAAATTTTCAGGATACAAAATTAACATACAAAAATCAGTAGTGTTTCTATACATTAACAATAAACTCTCCAAAAAGGAAATCAAGAAAACAATCCCATTCACAATAGCTGCAAAAAACACTTAAGAATAAATTTAAGAAAGGACGAGAAAAACCTTCTCACTGAAAACTATAAGACATTGCTGAAAGAAACTGAAGAAGATACAAATAAGTGGAAAGACATCTCCTGTCATAGCCTGGAAGAATCAAATTGTTAAAATGCCCATTCTACCCAAAGTGATCTACAGATTTAATACAATCCCTATCAAAATTCCATTTTCGTATAAATAGAAACAAATTCTAAAATTCAGATAGAACCACAAAGGATCTTGAATAGCCAAAGCAATTTTGAGCAAGAAGAACAAAACTGGAAGCATTACACTACCTGACTTCAAAATATACTACATACTATAGTAACCAAAACAGCATAACACCGCCATAAAAAAAAAACAGACACATAGACTAGTGGAACAAAAGAGAAAGCCCAGAAATAAATTTATGCATTTACAGTCAATTGGTTTTTGACAAAGTTGTCACACTAGGTGTGGACAATCTCATCAATAGATTGCGGTGGGAAAACTGGATATCCACATGCAGAAGTATGGAATGATAACTTTATCTTATACCATGCAAAAACAACTCAAAATGGACTAAAGCCTTAAATTTAAGAACCGAAACTGCAAAACCACTCGATAAAAAAATAGGGGAAAGGCTCCATAACATTTGTCTGAGCCATGATTTTTTTGGATATGACCCAAAAGCACAGACAAGAAAAGCAAAAAGACACAAATAGGATTGCATCTAACTAAAAAGTTTTTGCACAGCAAAGGGAATGATCAACTAAGTGAAGAGACAACTGATGGAATGAGAGAAATTATTTGTGAATCACATATCTGATAAGGGATCAATATCCAGAATACACAAAGAACTCAAACTACTGAATTATAAGAAAACAAATAATTCTATTTAAAAATGGCAAAAAACTTGAATAGACATTTCTCAAGAGGACAAATGCCCAACAATATATATTTACATATATATACACACACATATTTAGTATGTATATACACAGTATATATACATACATATGTATGTATTATATATACATCATATACATGATGTATGTATTCATGTGTATATATGATGTATATATGAATGTATATATACACACATATATAGTATATATAAATGCCCAACAGATAAATATAAATATACTGTATATATACTATCTATAAATAAATATATATGCTATATATAAATATATATGCCCAATAGATAAATATAAAAATGTCTATCATTAATCATAAAGGAAATGAAAATTAAGCCCACAGTGAGACATTACATCATATATTTTAGAATGACTATTGTAAAAATAAAAAAATATAACAAGTTTTGGTGAGAATATGGAGATAAGGAAATCCTTGCACATTGCTGGTGGGAATACAAATCAGTACAGCCTTCATAGAAAACAGCATGGAAGTTCATCCAAACATTAAAAATAGAACTACATGTGATCTGGCAATCTCACTACTGGGCATATACTGAAAGGAAATGAAATCACTATGTCAATAAGATATCTGCACTCCTGAGTTGCTATAAATATTATTCACAATAGCCAAGATCTCCATCAATCCATGAACAGAAAAAGAAAATGTGGTAATTATAAGCAATGGAATGCTATGCACCCTCAAAAAAAAGAAGAAATCCTGTAATTTGTGACAACATGATTAAACCTGAAAGACATTATACTAAGTGAAGACAGGAGAAATAATAAAAGTTCAAGAGACTCAGTGTACAACATAGTGACTAAATCAAGTGAATTAACATATGTATTACCTCACATACTTATCATTGTTTTGTGGTGAGAACACTTAAAATCGACTCTCTTAGCAATTTTCAAGAACACAATGCATTTTTTAATTCATAGTCACCATGGTGTACACTGGGTCTCTTGAACTTATTTCTCCTGTCTAACTGAAATTTTGTATCCTTTGAACATCTCTCCAACCTCAAGTTTACCTCCAACCTTTGGTAACCACTATTCCACTCTCTGCTTCTACGAGTCAACGTTTTAAGGTTCCACTTATAAGCGACATGCAGTATTTATCTTACTGTGCTTGGCATGCTTCACTTAGCACAATGTCTTCCAGGTTTATCCATCCTGTCACAAATTACAGAGAGTAGATTTTAACTGTTCTCACCACAAAACAATTATAAGTATGTGAGGTAATACATATGCTAATTCACTTGACTTAGCCATTTCGCAGTGTGTACATATTTCAAAACATCATGTTGTACCCAATAAATATACAAAATTTGTATTTGCCAATTAAAAAAATTAATTAATTAGAAAATAAAATAGAATCTCATTTACAAAACACATTTCTAAAAATACAACCTTACTTATAGGATTGTCGTAATCATAAACCAAGATTATTTATCTCATATACTTAGTACCTAGCACAGTGACTGGCACAAAATAAACACCTGATAATTATTTGCTACAATGGAATAGTGTTCAATGTGTTCCAATACATAGCATAGATCTTTAAACAAAATGTCTTTAGATTATTATAGATATAGTACATATTACCAATGTTATAAGCCTTGACTTTGGCAAAGAAAAATAAATCAGAGAGTGGCAGAAAGTACAGCTATGTTACTTATATTTAAAAGTGAGAAAGCAATATATATCATCAATTAATATATCAATTTTATATATATCAATTAATAAATCTATCGAAATGTGATGGATCCAACAATAGATTTATATTCTATTTTAAACTGTAAAAGTAATTGATAGAGAAACTATGAGTTATATAATTAACAAAATTTTGAAGAGGAAGTGGAAGATGAAAGAGATAGAAGTTAACAGGGTTTGTAATTTAGGTCCGTCAACTGTCTCCTATTACTAGTAACATTGCGTGCATCTTTATTATGCATCATACACAGTTCTGAACACTTTATGCATATTAACTCAATGAATCCTCACAACAAACTTATAAGGTAAATACTATTATTATTCTATTTTTAAATTAAGCACAGAAAATTGAAGTATTTTTCTCAAGACCCAAGTCGGTCTTAGGAGTCTGAATCCCTATATTTATTGCCCCTAAGAATAGAGAAGAAGCATACATAATCTAAAATTTTATCTTGCATTTTAATTGTATTCATTAGAGTTATTGAGGTAATAATCAAATTAAATAAAACCAGATATTTTAAGAATGGAGACTTATGGAGAGTAGGTTATAATTTGGAGATTATAAAGGGAGAATTTTACAATCTATAAAATTTGTTTTCTTATTAAATGTTTTCTTTTTACCATGTGAGTGTATTACTTGTATTGAAACAAAACAATATTGAAGCTCTGTGGACACTTTTTCATTGTGGAAGTCACAAAAGTTAGTTTGTTATTTTTATAATTATTGTATTGCCAGTCATATTTATAATAATTTCTGTTAACTGTTATTTTTATAATTATTGTTTTGCCAGTCATATTCGTAATAATTTCTGAGTCTTTTGTTCTAACTTTTATATCTACAACAAATATTTAAACATGATAAATTTTAATTTAATTTTAAAATTATGAATATTAACTTATAATCAAGTTATAATTGTAAATACATTACAAATTTGATGATTATAATATATTCTTTGCTTTTTAGTAAATCTACATTTAATTTGTTAATGGATTTTTTTTTTTAATCAGAGCTGGGTAAAAGTTAGTGAAAGACTTCTCACTGTAGGCTGATCTCCCCAGAAAGATACTGGTCTCTAATGAAGCTCCCTGAAAATGGCCAAGGTCAAGATTAATAACAGTGCTTCAATCCCAAACATGAGTTGGTCACGTAAGTGGGCAAGGTGTTGTTCTCCCCATGAGGAATGTTGAAACGGCAAATCATGCAACCAACTCACTGCAGCAAACGTACAGATGCAGATGTCATACTTGCACCCCAGGCCCTGATCATAGCGGAAGAGGAAATGGCATTACTTCAACCTTGAACCCTGTGTTGGTAAATCAGTGATAGAGCCAAGCCTCCACCAGATCATATTGTGCTGGTCACAGCTCCTGGTATCACAGCGGAAGGGCCTGGGATTCCTGAAACATGTTGCTTAAAGACCTCATAGACAACTCTTTGAGGCACACATAGCGGTGGCCAACTGGGAACCGGCGCACTCACCTACAACTTTTCAGTCTGTGAGATTTTCAAATACATACTCCTCGGGTAGGTCTAGTGTATGTGCTGTCCAGTGACTTGCTCTTGAGTGTAATGATATACTCATACATGAACAAAGTATTTATAACTAGAAAACCTAATTATAAAGGAAATAAAAAGTATATGTGAATCTATTTATACTTGGAATCAAGCGAGAGTAAAGGTAGCTCTGTCAGCCCAGCTGTATAAGGGCACCAGCCCATAGACCTAGAAAAGAAACTGGGAATGTGTCACTCTGGAACCAGAATGGACTCAGATATTAAAATAGAAGAAAAAGATGTAATCATTCATGATTTATAACCTAAATTAGTCACTGAGGTGAATATATACATTGCATATTGATAATAAGTATGGCAATGATACAAATTTTATTTTAGATAAAATTGTATTTTGTTAATAGTACCTCCCCCTGGTAAGGTTGACGGTTTTAAATATTTTCTTTTTTTTTTTTTTCTTTTCTTTTCTTGAGACGGAGGCTTGCACTGTCACCCGCGCTCGGCAGGAGTGCAGTGGCACAATCTTGACTCACTGAAACTTCCACCTCCCGAGTTCATGCAATTCTCCTGCCTCAACTTCCCGCATAGCTGTGATTACAAGTGCCCACCGCCACTCCTGGCTAAACTTTTTTTTTTTTTTGTATTTTTCATAGAGACGGGGTTTCACTATGTTGGCCAGGCTGGTTTCAAACTCCTGACCTTGTGATCCACCCTCTTCGGCCTCCTAAAGTGCTACAATTACAGGCGTGAGCCACTGTGCCTAGCCTACAGTTTTAAACCTTTACATATTTTTCTAAGCTGTATCTTTCTATGTTTTGGTTTGAAGTGGAACGTCTTTCTTTAAAAATAGAGGTGTAGCATCTGCTTAATTCATCTAAATACTATTCAGACAGCATTAGCCATCAATAAAGTTAATTTTTGAGACAAAATAATTTATCATTCTTTTGTTCACCTTGTTTTTGTTCTGTACATATGACGATATATCGATCAATATCATTACCCTTTCATGGAAATTTTAATAAAGTTTAGACAAATGAGCAGCTTCAAAAACATTTTAATCCCCCATTTATTCCCTTTAAGGCTGTGTCTAATTTTGTAACTGGCATTTGACAAGGCAATGAGTCTTCTTTCCAGCCTGCTGTTACAATATTACTTTTGCATGAAATTCCCATTGGAATGATATGCCAAGAAATATGTTTCTAAATTCCTTTTTCTATGATGAAAAAATTACACAGTTTCAAAATATTTAGCTACAGTGAAGATGAGAAATTAATTTTTAAAGAATCTACATTATTTTAAAAATCAGAATATTTTTATAATGTTTTGATGCAAGATGCTTACAAGTCTTGGCCATCATTGTAGTTCTTCATATTTCTCATGCAAACTCACATGATAAACTATAAGGTGTGTGTGTGTGTTTGTGTGTGTGTGTGTGTGTGTTTCTGTTTTGCTTCTTAGACATGCTCTTGGAAAACAGAAAATGTGGTTCTTCATGACTGATTGATAACAGTCATCTCTTGCGTGTAGTGTGGCAGTGACATTCTTATGACAGGGAATGAAGCTATACAGGCAGGTGGAAAAAATAGGACTTTCAAATGATAATCAAAGCTATGTCAATAAGAAATGTTTTTAAAACACAGGCTAGCTTGGGAGTAGAAAACTAATGAGTAAACTTTTTTTTTAAGAGAGAGAAAAGAAGGTATTTTTCTGGAAAGAAAGGGCATTAGTTTTTTTCCATTCTACTTCTGTGTGGTGTATAGTTAATTTGTGTGCTATCTGTTGGTTTCAGAAATCTTATCAGACCTGACAGAGGTAACAAAGAAGCCTGTAGGTTTAAAAAAAAATGCAAAAAGTTGAGCCATTAAAATCAGTGCTCCGCCAGGCATGGTGGCTCAAGCCCGTAATCCCAACACTTCCGGAGGCTGAGGCAGGCGAATCACTTGAGGTCAGGAGTTCGAGACCATCCTGGTCAACAGGATGAAACCCTTTCTCTACTAAAAATATGAAAATTAGCTGGGTGTGGTGGTGCATGCCTGTAATCCCAGCTACTCGAGAGGCTGAGGAGAGAAAATCGCTTGAGTGCAGGGGTGCGGAGGTTGCAGTGAGCTGAGATTGCACCACCGCACTCCAGCCTGGGCGATAGAGCGATAGAGTGAGACTCTATCTGAAAAAAAAAAAAAAAAAAAAAAAAAAGCAGTGCTCTTCATAGTGGTCCATGGATCACCGGAATAATTCATACTTTACTAGATCCTCCACTAGAAATGCAAAATCTTGGTCTCAATGCAGATCTACAGAATCAAGATGTATTTAGTTTGGGATCCATCAAATATGCATTTTTGGTGACTTTTGTGCATTTTCTCTTTTTTGTGTTATTTTATGATCAGTGCCACCTCTTCTTATCTGAGGGGGACTTCTTAGTTTCATAAGTTACTGAGTTAATAATATTACATAATGTGATGCTAATATAATCTTTCAATATAATTCTATGGCTGAAATGATTGAAGATATGGTGCTGCATAGAGAAAGAAAATGCTGGTTCAAAGGAAGAAGAATATAATGACAGCGACGAGAGCTTATTGTAGGTTCCAGGCACTGCCCTAATAACTTTATCTGTATTAATACTTAAAATGGTCAAAATCGACTCCCCATTTTTCAGATGAAGAAACTGAGGCACGACAAGATCAAGAAACTTGCTCAAGGTCATAACAATCAGGTGGTGGGGCTGTACTTTAAGGCAATCTGTCTGCAGACTCTGCCATCTTAATCACCATGCCATGGTATGTGAGAATAAGTAAGTACGGCACCATGTTAAGGGTCTGGGATGTAGTCTACATGCTGTGTTTTGCTACAAACCCCTCTGAGACTATTGCACATGCTGGGGACCCTCTCTCCAGAAACCTGCACAGATGCAAGGACTGGCCTAAGTTTGCCTATAATTTTAAGTAGCTCAGACCCCTTAGAGCTTGAACCAAGCTCATAGATCACAGATTATAAAATGGGTGTCCGTGGGAACAGAGCGCTTATTTTGGCATAGGCTTTGTAATTCATGAAAGTTTTCTCGTTTTAAAAATTTCTGTCTGAATTTCAGATTTGGGTCTGTATTTACCTAATTATTCCATATTGACATAATGACATATATTGGGAAATTTAGAAATGTCCTAGAATCGTCTCTCTACAGAATAGAAAAAATCAATTAAAAGTAAACAGAGGCAAGGGGATAGAACAATGAAGTAATCCTAGACTATCGTGAACTCACCTCCCTCTACGTTCTGTTGCCTCATTATCTCTCACCTTTCACTGTCTCTCGGTTGCATGCTGCTGTCTCAGCTTAGTTCTTGATTTCTTCCTGCCCAGATACCTTTTATCAGCTCTCCTTTCAGTTAGCAATAAACCCACCCACTCATCCTCCTCCAGCTGCCTGCTGTGCTTAGTAAAATGATGGAAGCACATTCCCTGCTTCGTATCTTAGGAGGGGACTACGTTACAGTTCAGGGCAGTGGAAACAGTTGTGTCCACTATATCCAGAATGCCTTGAGGTCAAGTTTCAGCTCTGCTCCTTCGTAACTGTGGGGCCTTGGACAGGTTCCTTAGGGTCTCTAGACATAGCTCTCCTGTGCTTTAAAATGCATATTACTACAATACTTTCCATTTACAGTTGTTGAGAGAATCAACTAATGTTTTTAAGTGCTCAAAATGGTACCTGCGGCCTACAAAGCGTGTGATTATGTTAGCTCCTCTGTAGAGCACGCCTGGTCTCTACCTACGTGGCCCACATGGCAAGCAATACAAGTGCTGCTCTTCACACAAGTAGGGTGGGAGAGAGTTGGGAAGCACAATGCTTACACAAACAATCTGCAAGAAACATGCCATTAGCTTATCTACTTCCACTTAAGGGACAATTTAGAAAGATATGCGTATCCTGGTAGTTGGAACCGAACTCAGTCTTGTTGCAAGAACAGTTTGAATTCAGCACTTTGAATATCAGGTACAATTTAATAAAATAAAAGTAGCAACTTCCTAAAAAATGATGACTTTCATCCCCATGACAGGGCCTATTCCAGGCAAGAAATTGCAGTGATGGAAGGCAGGCAAGATACTTTTTCTGCTTTTTGTTTTTTTTGTATTTTTCTCCTCTTCTCCGTAAGATATTACTTTGGAAGCTTTCACTGAGGCACTGAGATACAACAGGAAAAAATTTAAAAGCCTGTACAAAGATGCAAATTTCCAAAGGACATTTCTGAACAGAAAACTTCATGACTCTTAAAAACATCTCTTCATTGAGTTCAAAGATTTAGTTGTTTTTAAATTTTATTCCCAAAAGGGAGATAATATTTGGTGTTACAAATCAAATTTATTTGACTTGGTAATGTATTTAAGGGAAGAACTTAGCAATTAATAGATCTAAAATAGCATATTTTAAAGTTTCTATTTATTTATTTTACAGATTCTGGAAATAGCTCACACACACATCTTACCTATTCTTGTTAGTTTGGGCCACATCTGTTTCTGCTTTCAGGTACATTCTAATACAGGTTGAATATCCTTTATCCAAAATGTTTGGGACCACAAGTGTTTCAGATTTGCAATTTTTTTCAGATTATAAAATATTTGCATTCCTCTACAGGCATTTTGCAGGCCTCTTTAACATTTTCAACAATATGTTTACACCACATATCAGAGAATGAGCAAGAAACACAGTGAGTATTGCCCATAGGTCTTGACCCTATGTGGGACATCTTGGAGAAACTGTCAGTGGCACATCTGGCCTGCACACGTGCCACTTTATTATCCTTCATGGGTGCTTTGGTGGGAGAATCTGGACATGCACCAAAAAGATATATTGTAGCTGACAGGGTCTAGGGGGATATTTTTTCCTTTGGGGACTCAGAATAGACTGTGTTGTGTATTTGTGTTTTGACTGTGTTTTTAGGTCAGGTATGGAATTTTCCCCTGACAGTGTTATAGCTCAGAAAATTTCAAATTTTGGAGCGTTTCAAATACCAGGTGTTTGAATTAAAGATGCTCAGCCCATAGTGTGAATGTTTTCAGTGGGGCTTCTCTTGTAGAGGGATACATTCTGAGACTCATGTTTAGACTTTCAAGGGTGTCATTGATTACAAGAGCTCGGAAGTCTGTGTTAGTTTGAAGCTATTTGGTCCTGACTATTTTTAAAATGCAGTATATTTACTAAGATTGTTTCTTCAAATATCTGTTGAAATCAAAGTAAAAAAATAACAATAAGGTGTTACTTGGCTTTTCTCTATTTGTTGCATGTACCTCTCATAGGTCTGGCTCAATGGTATGATTAGTAAGGGCAGAATCTGAGTAATCTTGGATTTTTCTGATTATGGATTCAGGATCAGAAGAGGAAACAATGATATGTCATGTCATTATCTTCCTAATGCCAGTTAATGCCATTTCAACATCATAGTTTATAAAATGTTTACCTGAACTTATTTATTTCCAGGATATTCAGTATGCATATTATTATAATAGCTTACATCTAATTCCAAGCATCATTTCAAGTTTTAATCTTTGTAATTATCACCCATTTTTAAGGAAAAAACCTAGATACTATCTAAAAAAGAACAATCTCTTTATTGAACTATTAATATTAAAATGGGATACCCCAGTTACATTAATTACCTACATTTAATTTTTATTTTAAATTTAAGTTTAAATTTAAATATTGTTTTAATTTCATTGTTATTTGCTTATTTTTTTCTCTAATTGGAAAAATGAGTAGACTTCCATATACACATATAAAGCAAAGCCCAATAAGCAAAATATCATATTTAGTTGATATTTATATGCATAATTTTACATTTACCACGAATAAAGAAAAATCTTGCCAATTATGTTTTTATGTTAACCATTGTAAGACTCAAGCTAATTTCACAGTTGTTAAAAATGTGAAAGCATATGCAGTTGATAAATTAAGAGACTACTGCCTGTTATAAGCAGGGACAATTATGAACAAATTTTAGTCTCCAGATCGCTTTCATAAAATGTCTTAATCTAAACCTAGAGTCTCTAAAGTAAGTAAAATACAATTTAACACTTTGAAAATAAACACACATACATGTTATTAAATCCTATTAAATTATTTGATAAATGAAGTGTTCATAAATAAGGATACTCAAATTTTAAATATGACATAATATTTTATAAATTATTGAACTTCCATTATTTAGTTTAGCAAATGTTGCAAACTAGGTAATGTTACAGAAAGTCACTATCATAAATTAAGTCAAAATGTAACTGAGTTTAAATCAACCATGCTCTCTTAAGACCTCTAAACCAATCATATTTAGGCTGAATGTCGAAAGAACTGCAAATGTCTCCTCAGCTTTTATAATTCAGGGAGATATGTCTGGGCTTACATCCTAACAATTCCTTTCCTTCTTCCCGTGGGAATGAGACATTTAAGAACATTTAGAGTAAGGAGTCATCATTTATTTTAAATTATCCCCTTCCATTAATCACAGTAATTTCTTCTTTTATCTCCTATACTTGTTCCCAATACATCCTATGTAGCAACAACTTAGAGTTATATAAAACATCTAGACCATGGTAAGTAACATTAGTAAGGACTTCTAAGTTTAATAATTAATTTTGTTCCTTCAAGTAATAAGAAAATGTTGAAAATTTGGTCCTTCCTCAGGACATGCTTGAAAAACAAAGCAATACTAGACTCCTACATATCAATTAAAAATGTCAAATACCACAATAAAATACTAGAAGATAAACAAACAAGTGAAACTGTATTGTAATGCCATTTAAGAAAATTGTTGCTAGAGATAGATCAAGTAAGAAAACACACAAACAGCCCACCCACAAAAGCTTACATTTTTGTGAATGGCAAGAGAAGAAAACAGAAAATCAACGAACAAGTAAATATACAATATGTCAAGTGAAAGATCCCACGTGGAAAGGTAAAGCAGTTTAAGAAGACAGCAAGAACAGCGACAGTGAGTCGTCACATAAAATGAGCAGGTGAGGCCTGTCTGATGCAGAGACAAATGAGCAAATATTTGAAGGAACTAAAATAGTAGGATCTATCTATCTATCTATCTATCTATCTATCTATCTATCTATCTATCTATCATCTTTTATATATATAAAATAATATGTATAAAATAACATATTATATATAATTTATACATAAAATAACATATATGGGATATATATATGGGATAAAAATGTTTTTGAAAAAGGAAGTACTTTGCAGACAGAAAAATAGCAGGTGCAAGTCCCTAATGTAAGAATGTGGTTGTTACAAGGGAGAAGTGGCAAAGCCAGTTTGTGTGCAGCAGCAAGAGGAGGGAGTGGGAATGGGTCAGTGATGGGGAGTGGAAGGGCGAGAGGATACTATGGAGCCCTGGAGGTTATATTCAGGATATTGGATTTGACTTGGAGTCATGTAAGATGCCTTGAAATATTTTTGGTGGATGAGTGCAAAGTCTGATGAAATGTTAAAGAATGATTTTGGTTGTTCTGAAAACAATCTAAAAATTAACCCTTTAAACCCTTTAAACTAATGCAAAATTATACAACGAGAGGAGTTTTTTGTCCATCAACGTGGCAGAATAATTTAAAATATTGAAAGCATGTGATTGTTAAAAAGAGTGAAGAAGACAAACATATTGGCATGGGAATACATTAAATATATTTTGAGTACAAAATCAACACAAAAATATGTAAATTATTTTATATGCCTTTAAACATACAGAACATTGTCGGTAAGGCTACCCACTACAGTGGACCATCACAACATCTTGAAAAAAGAGTAGGAATGAAGACTGGGTTTAGAATTGTTCTTCTGAAACATATTGCCTGAATAGCAATTAAGAATTTTAACACCATGAATTTTGTATATCACCCAGGATTTATTATGAGGAATTTTTAAATAAATTATAATGTATGAGTAAAACAAAAAAGTTATATTTTAATTTTTTAGGTTCATATTATATAAAGTTTCTATAATAGTATAAATATATTGACTATATAATTGGAAAATATATTCAAAATAAAGTATTATTTAGATGACATGTATATATATCAGACTCCAAATAAAAATTTACCATTTTTAAGAATGACAATAATAGGAAAATATGAAAAGTTTACCTTGTAGTATCCCCCTCTCCCCCACCCTTCCTTACATACATGTGAACACTTCCACACCTCCAACAGCAGTACAAATGCATCGTCCTTTTGAATGGGATGTGAATACCGACACTGCAGAAAGTATCATTAAGTCAAAGAAGGTTTATCTTACTTTCTGAATTAACTAATTTTTTTGTCCTACATATAAAACATTATTTTATGTATATTAATATATTCATTAAAATTTTAACAAAAATATTTATAATTATTATAATAACACTTGAATCTATCTCAGTTCATATCAACAAGATAAACAATAGTTTGTTTTTTGTTTTGCTTTGTTTGTGACGGAGTCTCTCTCTGTCTCCCAGGCTGGAGTGCAGTGGCGTGATCTCAGCTCACTGCAACCTCCACCTCCTGGGTTCAAGCCATTCTCCTGCCTCAGCCTCCTTAGTAGCTAGGATTACAGATGCATGTCACCATGCCCGGCTAATTTTTGTATTTCTAGTAGAGATGGGTTTTACCATGTTGGTCAGGCTGGTCTTGAACTCCTGACCTCATGATGCACCCGCCTCGGCCTCCCAAAGTGCTGGGATTACAGGCGTGAGCCACCGTACCCGGCCAACAATAATATTTTTAAAGTCCTTTTTCATGTGTTCTTTCCTCTGCCTGAAATGTTCTCCCCCAAGATTATCTGCATGACTTGCTTCTTATTCTTTCAAATTTCTGCTCAAATGTAACCTCCTCAGATTACAATTCTATCTGAAATGGTACCATTCTTCACATTCTATCCCTTCTGTGTTTATTTATTCTTCGTAGCATTTACCACCAAAAAGTCTATCTGTTTATTTGTTGCCTTATAGTCTTACCCTCTCACATTGGAAAGAAGCTCCGTTATTTCCAGGGATTTATCTTACTTACTCTTATATCTACAGTTTTAAAAGGCAGGCTGACATGTAGTAGGTATTCAATAAATGTATTAGGACTGATTGAAAGAATGAATGAATTTTTAAAGATTTTCACCAAGATAACTGGTTGCTTTTTGTTTGTTTATTTGTTTCTTTATCTTTGATATCTTTATTTAAGAAAGTGGATAACCCTTATACTTCACTTCCTATAAAACAGAGAATTTATAACTCAGAGTTGAGTCTATTAGTTGCTAATTAAACAGAAATACGATGTCAAGAACTTATAAATTTGAACATTTCAACTTGAGAAAGAATGAGGATAGAATTCTTAATAAATAATTGGTTGGATTCTCAGGCCAGGTCTTTCCTTGATACGTCCCATGTCTAGTAGTAGCTATTGGCTTGTATCTCCCTGTTTTTAAATCTAAAAGAAAAAGGAATGTTCTATCTTATTATTACTAAAAAATCTGAAATTATTGCTTGCAAGGCCTCATTTGTCTGTATAAATCAATAACTCAAGGGAAGGGGATACGCTACTGTAAAAGGACCTAGATCATGCGCACACTGCTAGTGAGAATAAACTCCATCCAAGACATAGACATGGAGTTAGAGTTGGGTGATAAATCAAGATTCGGTTATCATAACAAGGGGAATATGGATGGTCAACTGAAGAAACAAAAAGAAGTATAACAATTTTCCACAATACTTAAGAAAATCATTGGCTACAATAAATGCATAAAACTGTTGGCAATGTATCTCCTTCCATTACCAATCAGTCTTGCTATGAAATCTTGATATATTATTGCTAGTAATAAAAGTTTTGATATATTGGTTCTGAAGTGATAAGCCTAGGCAATTTCAAATACTGAATACATTTATATGAGAAGATACTTGAGCAAGGCTATTTGAATTAATAGATATGGCCATTACTCATATGAACATTATCATAAAGATTATTTTTTAAAATCACCAATCTCATTACAAAACTTATTTTACACGTTAATCCCTTGTTAAGAGCTGTGCACTTCAGTGTGCAAAGCTAGTTTTGTATTGCTGACGATTAAGTCCAGAGAATATTAAAAGGATGAATACCCAGTGGTGACTTTTACGGATTTTGCAACGCTAAATAAAAATTAGCAGGTCTTGCTCCTTTGCAATGAGTAAAATATGTGTTATTAGGTATTCAAAGTAAAAGTTATTTATTTGCTAAAATGCACGGTTTTTTTCTACTTAACATTGTACTAAAAGTTCTAGCCAGGACAATTCAGCAAGAAAAAGAAATAAAAGACTTCTGAATTGGAAAGGAGGAAGTAAAAATATCTTTATTTAAAAATGACATGATCTGTATACGGAAAATCATAAAGAATACACATATGCATACACACACATAACTATTAGCACTAATAATCAATTTCAGCAATGTTGCAGAATAAAAGATCAATCTACAAAATTCACTTGTCTTTCTGAACAATAGCAATAAATAATTCCAAGATCAAAGTCAGAGAATAATTTCATTCACAATAGCATCAAAAAGAATAAAACATTCAGGAATAATTTTAACAAAAATTTGAAGAGGAAGTCTGAAAATCACAAATATCATTGAAAAAATTAAAGAAAATAGAGAGATATCCCCACATTCGTATCTCAAAAAATTTATAGTAGAAATATATCCCCACATTCACACTCCTGCATTTAATGTAAGGCTTGATATTATTCAGCTGTAAATATTCTTCATATTGATCTACACATTCAATGAAATCCCTATAAATTCCAGCCTTTTTTTTTTTGCAGAAATTGACAAGCTGATTGTAAAATTCATATGAAAATTTAAGGAACTCAAAATAGCATTAAAAAAAATCTTGAAGTACAAAAACAAACTTTGAGGAATCACACTTCTTGGTTTCAAAACTTACTAGAAAGCTACAATATTCAAGATGATATGATACTGATTTAAGGCTAGAAAGGTAGATTAAAGAAATAGAATTGAGACTCCAGAATCAGTCTTTACATTATGGTTAACAATTTTTGAAAAGGACGCCAATCTAATTCAGTGGCAAAAGAATAGACTATGCAAAAAATAATGGTAGGAAAACTAGATAGTCACATGCAAAAGAAGTTGGAACCTTAAATAATTTACCAAAATTTATTTAAAATGGATCAGATATCTAAATGTAAGCATTAAAACTACAAAATTTTTAGAAGAAAACATAGGAGTAAACCTTCATAACCTTGAATTAGGAAATGGTTCTTAGCCACAACACTGAAAGCACAAACAATAAAAGAAATAATAGGTAAATTGGATTTCATCAGAATCCAATATCTATGGATTTCAAAGGATACCATTAACAAGGACAGCCCACAGAATGAAAGAAAATACTTGAAAATCATATATCTGATAAATGACTTGTATTCAGAATATATAAAGAACACTTACAACAATAAAAAGACAAATGACCATAACTCAATTAAAATAAACAAATAATTTGAATAGACATTTCACCAAACACACACAAACACACACACACACACACACACGATCAATTAGAACACAGAAAGATGTATGGTGTAATTAGTCATTAGGGAGATACAAATCAAAATCACAATGAGGTTTTACTTCATAAGCATTAAGATAGCTAAAATCAAAAAGAAAAATTCACATACATTTGAAAGAGTAAGGAGAAATTACATGCAGCCATTTTGCAAAATAGTTTGTCATTTTCCCAAAATATCAAAAATAAAGTTGTACTATTTATTACCCAGCAATTTCACTCCTAAGTATTTATATCTAAGAGAATTTGCAATTTTCTAATTAAAATGCTGAACATCTTTTATATGACTGTTTTTTAATTTGTAGGTCTTTTTAAGGGTGGTGTTGATTCAGAACTCTTGTTTTTTGTTTTTAATTTGGCTATTCACTTCCTTCTTGTTAAGTTTTAAGAATTTTTAGTTTATTTTGGATCCAAATTCTTTACCAGATATGTCTTTTGCAAATATTTTCTCCAAGTTCATGGCTTTTTTTTTTTTTTTTTTTTTTTGAGACGGAGTCTCGCTCTGTCGCCCAGGCTGGACTGCAGTGGCGCGATCTCGGCTCACTGCAAGCTCCGCCTCCCGGGTTCACGCCATTCTCCTGGCTCAGCCTCCCGAGTAGCTGGGATTACAGGCGCCCGCCACCTCGTCTGGCTAATTTTTTTGTATTTTTAGTAGAGACGGGGTTTCACAGTGTTAGCCAGGCTGGTCTCGATCTCCTGACCTCGTGATCCGCCCGCCTCGGCCGCCCAAAGTGCTGGGATTACAGGCGTGAGCCACCATGCCCGGCCGTCCATGGCTTGTTTTTTATCCTCCTGCTAGTGTTTTTTTACAAGGCCATGTTTTTAAAATTTTAGTAAAGTCCAATATTGTAATTTTTGCCCATGAATTATGCTATTTTTATATTTGAAAACTCACCTGCAAAGCCAAGGCCAGGTAGATTTTCTTCTCTGTTTATTTCATGATGTTTTATATTTTTTCATTTTAGGATGTATTTTAAACTGATTTTTGTGTAAGTTCGATTTCATTGGTGCATTTTCTCTCTCTCTCTCTCTCTATATATATATCCAATTATTCCAGTACTGTGTGTTAAAAATCCTTCTATTTCTCTATTGAATTGCCCTTGCTCTTTTGTGAAAGACCAGTTGACTACATTTATGTTGGTCTGTTTCAATTTCTGTATTCTCTTCAATGATCTTTTTCTTTTCCAGTATCACACTGTCTTGATAACTGTAGCCTTATAGTAATTCTTGAAATTGGCTACCTTAAATCTTCCAAATTAGCTCTTTTTTAGTATTGTGCTGGCTACACTAGGTCTTTCTACCTTGAGATTGAGTCGAATCTACGTATCAAGTTAAGAGAATTGGCATCTTAATAATATGGAGTCTTTCAATATATGGATATGAACTCTCTATTTATAGAAATCTCTGCTTCTTTTTTAAATCAGAGTTTTAAGTTTTCACATATAGCTCTTGTATATATTTTGCTAGACTTATTATACCTAAGTGTTTCATTTGGGGGTATTAATATAAATGGTATTTCTTATTTTAAATACCAATTGTCAATTGCTGACAGAAAGCAATGGGCATTTGTATGTTTTACCTTGTGTTCTACAACCTTGTTATACTTGTTTATGAGTTCCATGAGTTACCCTGTTAATTCTTAGGGCTTTTGTAAAGTAGATAAATCTCATCTTTGAAAGGAAACATATTAATATCTTCCTTCTCAATTGGTATGCCATTTATTTCAGTGGGTGGGGTGGGGTGCTCAGAATGTCCAGTATATTGTTGAGTAGACGTAGTGAGAGAAATCATCCTCCTTTTTTCCTAATCTATACTGGGAAAGTGTTCATTGTCTAACCATAAAAATGAAGTTAGTTCATTTTTGTAGATTTTTAAGAATCAAGTTGAAGAACTTTTTTTATTTTCCTTTAACTAAGAAATTTTAACATACATGGGCATTAGATGTTGTCAATTTCTTTTGCATCAATTACTATAATCATATGACCTTTTTTTAATCCTTGATGTGAATTACATTGATTGATTTTAATATATTGAAACATTTCTGTATACCTAGAATAAATCCCTCTTGGCCATGGTGTATACTTATTTTTATACATTGTTGGATTTGATTTCTAATATTTCCTTGAGTATTTTTGCTTTCATGTTCACGAGAGATATTAGCCTGTAGTTTTCCTTTCTTGTGAAGTCTTCATCTGTTTTGATGTTAGGATAACACTGGACTAACAGAATACGTTATAGAGTATTTTCTCTGCTCCTAGTTACTGGGAGTGATTTCTTAAAATTAAGCTCATTTTCTCCTTAAATGGTTGGTTGAATTCAGCTGTGTTTCTCTAATAGCTACATGACTATTCAGGTTGTCTATGTCTCCTTGTCAAAGTTCTGGTTGTTTGCGTATTTTAAGAAATTAGTTCATTTCTTCTATCAGATTTGTGGACATAAAAATATTGTTCATTATATTTCTATTTTATCCTACTCAATGCTCATACTATATGTAGTGATGATCCCCCTTTTACTTGTGATCTTGGTAATTTATATATATATATTTTTTCTTATTTAGCCTACATAGAGGATTGTCAATATCCTTAGATTAAAAAAAAAAACAAGTATTGTTTTTGTTAATTTTCTCTATTGTCTTGTTTTTTGTCTCATTAATTTCTGCTAATTGTGAATTATTTCTTTTCTTTTGCTTGCTTTAAGCTTAAATTAGACTTCTTTCTTTGTTTACCAAACTGGAAGCTTCAGTTACTAATTTTTGAGCTTTTCTATTTTCTAACATAGGCATTTAATGTGATACATTTCCTTTTAAGCACTGCTTTTTGTTGCATGCAATATTTTTATGGGTTAGATTTTTATTTAGTTCAAAAATATTTAAACATTTTTCTTAGTACTTCTTTGACTTTTGTTTTACTGAGAAGTGTATCTTTAAAATATCTGAAGATTTTCCAGGTATCTTTCAGTTTTTGATTTTAACTTTGAGTGCTTTGTATTCTAAGAATGTTTATTGTTCGATTTCTCATACTTTAATTTTTTTACATGTAGTTCATGGCACTGAATGTTGTCTGTCCTGGTAAATGTTTCTTGTAAACTTGAGAAGAATAGGTATTCTTTTGTTTATGGATTAAGTATTTCTAGAATACTTAATTAGATCAAGTTGATTGATAATGTTGCTCAGGACAATTACTTCTTTCCAGATTTTCTGGCTTTTTGATTTGTAAATTACAAGCTGTTGTTGAAGTCTCTATGTTCTGTATTGAATTTGTCTCTTTCTCCTGCTACTGTTGTCAGTGTTTACCCCTGGTTGTTTGATGATTTTTTGTTAGAACCGTATCTGTTTGTGTTAGGTATTCTTAAAGAATAGACTCCTTTACTCTTTATCACTGATAATTTCCCTTCTGATGTCTGCTTTTTCTGAAATTAATATAGTTACTGTTACTTTCTTTTGATTAGTGCTATCATATCTTTATCAAACACTTTATTTTTCATTGTACCAGAATATTTATATTTAAAGTGGGTTTTGTAGATAACATATAGCTGTGTGATGTGGAATGTTTTTGTATCATTCTGACAATTTTTCTGTAATTGATGAATTACAATCTTTCACATTTAAAATGATTATTGATATATTTAGATTAATGTTAATCATTTTTGTAATTGTTTCTATTCATTGTTCTGAATTTCTTTTTTCTTTTTTTTAGACAGAGTTTCACTCTTGCTGGCCAGGCTAGAGTGCAATGGCGCGATCTCGGCTCACTGCAACCTCTGCCTCACAGGTACAAGCAGTTCTCCTGCCTCAGCCTCCCGAGTAGCTGGGATTACAGGGATGCACCACCACACCCAGCTAATTTTGTATTTTTGTAGAGATGGGGTTTTTCCATGTTGGTCAGGCTGGTCTCAAACTCTGGACCTCAGGTGATCCGCCTGCCTCAGCCTCCCAAAGTGCTGGTGAGTCACTGTGCCAGTTACGACTTCCTTTTCTATCTTCTTTTTTTAATTGAGCATTTTATAATTCCATCTTATCTCCCCTCTAAGTGTTTCCATTATATCTCCTTCAAAAAAGTTGTCACTGTTTGCCTAGAGTTTATCCATACAATCTACATTTTTTAAGTAAAATTTTTCCCATCTATTGAGCGTATACTCTGTGACACTTATTGGATGATTATGTGCGACATCTCTAAGTTGAGCAATGGGCTTTCACTAACATGCCAACTTTCCAGGATTCCAAGGAAACATCCTTGTATAAAAAAAAAATTGTTTCTTAGAGAAGCTCAGCGATATGCCCAAGACCTACAGTTCTCAAGTTGTAGAACTGCAATTCTAACCCACTGAGCTCTTTTCACCACTCAGGATTATAGTAGTTTGGAATTGCTCTGTATCACATACTTATCATTACTAAAATATATGTTTGATGCTATAAATGTCCACTTAATTTCAAAATCTGAAATCCGTATTGCTGAGCTCTCTTCTCAGAGAACAGCAGTGCACAGTGATTAGCACAATGAACTCCAAAGCTGGGGAGTCTCTTTTCCAATCTCAGCTCTGCCACTTAAAGCTGGGGAGTCTCTTTTCCAATCTCAGCTCTGCCACTTACTTTGGGTATAGCCTGGGGTAGTGTCTTAAATTTTCTTTGGTTCTGTTTCTTTATCTCTAGGATGGCGCAGATAATAGTAACACTTATATTAAGGGGCCTCTGTGAGCCTGCATGATGCCCTTAGGACAACTCCTGGTGAACAGTTAAGCACTCAGAAAATGAGACCATTTAGCAATTCTCAGGGGATTGAGCATTCTCTGTATTTGAGCATTCTCCTGGGCCTTGGTTTATCTCAATATATTCTCATGTTTTTTATTTATACATTGAACAAAGGCTTACTCAGACCTTCCAGGTGGTTGCTGCAGTGCATTCATTGGTGATATGCACACCAATAAACACATAACATAGCGCACGGAAGAACGGCATGACCAACATTTGCTCAGCTCTTTACAGTTTACAAGGACATGTAGTATTTACAGTGCTAACTGTCACATGCTATTTTAGACTCACATACGTAAGCTTGAAATGCTTCAGTGGCCAAATCCAAGTTGAGAATGTTGGAAATAGTGTAACAAGAGGCAAACCAAATGGGTTGTTTGCCTCCTTTCTTTTCCTAATGTTTTTATTGATGTAAAATACACATAGCATAAAATTTTCCATCTTAACCATTTTTAAGTAAAGAATGTAGTGGTATTAAATACATTCATAATATACAGCCATCACTGCAATCCCTCTCCATAACTTTTTTCATGTTATAAACTGAAACTCTCTACCCATTAAACAATAATTCCTCATTATCCCCTTCTCCAAGTCATTGGCAACCACTGTTCTGCCTTCTGTCTCTATGATTTTGACTACCTCATACAAGTGGATTCAGACAGTATTTGTCTTTTTCTGACTGACTTATTTCATATAACAATGTCTTCAAGGTTTATCCTTCTTATAGCTTATATCAAAACTTCCTACTGCTTGAGGACTAAGCTCAGATTTTTTTATCTTACCAAATTCCTGCCTAAGGGGTTTAGGGAGTCATGCCCTACAAACCATAAATTCTCATCAGATGGGTTTTATTTGACCCTATATATTGTGACTTACTTTTCAGTCTGACACTGGCATAACATTATGAGACAAGGGAAAAATATTTTACCCCAAAATATATTTCCTTGCCATACTTTGAAATTGCTCTGCAAAGTCTCTTGTGGGAAAAATTCACATTCTATAGAAAATCCGCTTCCCCTTTTGTTTTCCTTCCTTTCTTTCCAAATCCAGGAGATAATCAAGTAAGAGCCAGGCACCCTTTTAAGTCTGAGTAAGAAACAATTTAAAAACTGCTCTCTCTGAAGTCAGCTGAGAGCTTCCTCTGCACGATAAAACTTGGTCTCCACAATCCTTTATCTTTAACCTGAACATTCCTTTCTATCCCTATGGATCCCATGTCTTTAGACAAACTCAACCAATCGTCAACCAGAAAATGTTTAAATTTACCTATAGCCTGGAACCCCCACCCCTGCCCCCCTGTAGCTTTGAATTGTCCCACCTTTCTGAACCAAATCAATGTATTTCTTAAATCTATTTGATTGACATCTCATGCCTCCCTAAAATATATAAAGCCAAATTGCACCCCAACCACCTTGGACACATGTTCTCAGGACCTACTAAGGGCTGTGTCATGGGCCATGGTCCTTCATATTTGACTCAGAATAAATCTCTTAAAATATTTTACCAAGTTTCACTCTTTTTGTCAACAGCTTTAAGGCTGAAAAATATTCTGTTGTTTGTATGTTTCATGCGCGTCCGTGTAAAGAGACCACCAAACAGGCTTTGTGTGAGCAACATGGCTGTTTATTTCACCTGGGTGCAGGTAGGCTGAGTCCGAAAACAGAGTCAGCAAAGGGAGATAAGGGTGGGGCCGTTTTATAGGATTTGGGTAGGTAAAGGAAAATTACAGTCAAAGGGGGTTTGTTCTCTGGAGGGCAGGAGTGGAGGTTGCAAGGTGCTCAGTGGGGGTGATTTTTGAGCCAGGATGAGCCAGGAAAAGGACTTTCACAAGGTAATGTCATCACTTAAGGCAAGGACCGGCCATTTACACTTCTTTTGTGGTGGAATGTCATCAGTTAAGGTGGGGCAGGGCATATTCACTTCTTTTGTGATTCTTCAGTTACTTCAGGCCATCTGGGCATATATGTGCAAGTCACAGGGGATGCGATGGCTTGGCTTGGGCTCAGAGGCCTGACATTCCTGCCTTCTTATATTAATAAGAAAAACAAAACAAAATAGTGTTGAAGTGTTGGGGCGGCGAAAATTTTTGGGGGGTGGTATCGAGAGAGAGAATGGTCGATGTTTCTCAGGGCTGCTTCAAGCGGGATTAGGGGCGGCGTGGGACCCTAGAGTGGGAGAGATTAAGCTGAAGGGAGGTCTTGCGGTAAGGGGTGATATTGTGGGGATGTTAGAAGAAACATTTGTTGTATAGAATGATTGGTGATGGCCTGGATACGGTTTTGTATGAATTGAAAAACTAAATGGAATAACAGAAGGAGAAAAACAGGTATAAAAGGTCTAAGAATTGGGACCACTTAGGATATCTGATTAGAGAGTGCTTAAGGAGATTCGGCATAGTCCTGCCAGCAAAGATCAAAGAGAGGCTGGGACGAGGGGTGCAGGGGAATAGTGGAAAAAGGCATCTTTAAGATCAAGCACGGAATAGTGAGTTGTGGAGGAGGGTATTGAGGACAAAAGAGTGTACGGGTTGGGCACCACAGGGTGGATAGGCAAAACAATTTGGTTGATAAGGCGCAGATCCTGAACTAACTTGTAAGGCTTGTCTGGTTTTAAGACAGGTGAAATGGGGGAATTGTAAGGAGAGTTTATAGGCTTTAAAAGGCAATTTTGTAGCAGGCGAGTGATAACAGGCTTTAATCTTTTTAAAGCGTGCTGCTGGATGGGATATTGGCGTTGAGTGGGGTAAGGGTGATTAGGTTTTAATGAGATGGTAAGGGGTGCATGATCGGTCGCCAAGGAGGGAGTAGAGGTATCTTATACTTGTGGGTTAAGGTGGGGGGATACAAGAGGAGGATGCAAAGGAGGCTTTGGATTGGGAAGAAGGGTGGCAATGAGATATAGCTGTAGTCCAGGAATAGTCAGGGAAGCAGATGATTTAAAGTGTCTCAGCCTAATAAGGGAACTGGGCAGCTGGGGATAACTAAAAGGAGTGCTTAAAAGAGTACTGTCTAAGTTGGCACCAGAGTTGGGGAGTTTTAAGAGGTTTAGAAGCCTGGCCGTCAATACCCACAACAGTTATGGAGGCAAGGGAAACGGGCCCTTGAAAAGAAGGTAATGTGGAGTGGGTAGCCTCCGTATTGATTAAGAAGGGGATGGGCTTACCTTCCACTGTGAGAGTTACCTGAAGCTTGGCGTCCGTGATGGTCTAGGGGGCTTCCGAGGCGATCAGGCAGCATCAGTCTTCAGCCACTAAGCCAAGAAGATCTGGGAAGGAGTCAGTCAGAGAGCCTCGGGCCAGAGTTCCAGGGGCTCTGGCAGTGGCTGTCAGGTGAGCTGAACAGTCCGATTTCCAGTGGGGTCCCGCACAGATGGGACACGGCTTAGGAGGAATCCTGGGCTGCAGGCATTCCTTGGCCTGGTGGTCAGATTTCTGGCACTTGTAGCAAGCTCCTGGGGGAGGAGGTTCTGAAGGAACACCTGGCCTCTGCGGTTCAGGCGTTTGGAAGTTCTTGTATGCTAGAGATGTGGCTAGGGTTTGTCTCACAGTGGAGGCGAGGAATTGCAACTTTTTTTTTTATTATTGTACACCTTGAAGGAGAGGTTAATTAAGTCCTGTTGTGGGGTTTGAAGGCCAGATTCTAATTTTTGGAGTTTTATTTAATGTCCGGGGCAGATTGGGTAATAAAATGTATATTGAGAATAAGACGGCCTTTTGACATTTTACCGTCTAGGGCTGTAAAGCATCTCAGGGTTGCTGCCGAACGAGCCATGAACTGGGCTGGGTTTTTATATTTGATAAAAAAGAGCCTAAATGCTTCTGATTTGGGATAAAGAAAAAGGAGCATTAACCTTGACTATGCCTTTGGCTCCAGCCACCTTTTTAAGAGTAAATTGTGGGCAGGTGGGGGAGGGCTAGTCAGAGAATGAAACTGTAAGCCGGACCAGGTGTGAGGAGGGGAGGCGATAAAAAGATTACAGGGTGGAGGAGCAGAGGCTGAGGAAGAATTGGGACCTAGCTTGGCCTGGCAAGGAGGGGAGAGGTCAGATGGGTCTGTAGAAAAGGAAGATTAGAAAGACTCAGCTACGCTTGGGGTTGGGACTGAGGGGACAGGTGGGAGGGAAAGAAGGAAGATTTGGGACGAGTTGCACTGGGCACAGAGACTAGGAAGGGACTGATGTGTAAAAGAATGCCTGGACATCAGGCACCTCAGACCATTTGTCAATTTTAGGACAAGAATTATTTAGATCTTGTAGGATGGAAAAATTGAAAGTGCCATTTTCCGGCTATTTGGAACTACTGTCGAGTTTGTATTGGGGTCAAGCGGCATTGCAGAAGAAAATAAGATGCTTAGATTTTAGGTCAGATGAGAGTTGAAGAGGTTTTAAGTTCTTAAGAATATAGGCTAAGGGAGAAGAAGGAGGAATGGAAGGTGGAAGCTTGCCCATAGTAAAGGAGGCAAGCCCAGAGAAAAGAGCAGAGACACGGAGAAGGGGTGGGGGGTTCTTGCCCTCCAGAAAAGCAGAGAAAGGGTTGGGGCATGGAAATAAGGAATTGGGGCACAGAGATAAGAGGGTGGGGCACAGAAATAAGGGATTGGGTGTTCTTGCCCCCTAGAAAAGCGGGACTTGCCGCTAAGGGTGAAGGAGAAGGGGTTGAGGGGTACTTGCCCCTCCCCCAGAAAAGCAGAGAAGGGGTAGAGACAAGGAGAGAAGGGGTTGGGGTACTTGCCCCTTCCTCAGAAAAGCGGGACTTGCCACTAAGGGTGAAGGACCAAGGCAGGTGTCCCTGCTTGGTCTGACACCTTTGAAATGTGTGTGAATAATCAGAGAGGTGTCCCTGCAAGGATTAAATACCAAGGGAAGGCTGCCTTCCCAGTCCGTGACCGCCGCCGGAGTTTTGGGTCCACGGATAAAACGTGTCTCCTTTGTCTCTACCAGAAAATGAAAGGAATTGAAATTAAGAGAAGGGAGTGATTGAAGTGTGGCGCCAAGATTGAAAGGAGAAAGAGGTTGAAGGATAGTGAGGGAAGCTGGAGAAGAGAGTAAAAAGAGGCCGCTTACCGGATTTGAAATTGGTGAGATGTTTCTTGGGCTGGTCGGTCTGAGGACCTGAGGTCGTAGGTGGATCTTTCTCACAGAGCAAAGAGCAGGAGGACAGGGGATTGATCTCCTAAGGGAGGTCCCCCGATCTGAGTCACGACACCAAATTTCATGCGCGTCCCTGTGAAGAGACCACCAAACAGGCTTTGTGTGAGCAACAAGGCTGTTTATTTCACCTGGGTGCAGGCGGGCTGAGTCCAAAGAGAGTCAGCAAAGGGAGATAGGGGTGGGGCCGTTTTATAGGATTTGGGTAGGTAAAGGAAAATTACAGTCAAAGGGGGTTTGTTCTTTGGCGGGCAGGAGTGGGGGTCGCAAGGTACTCAGTGGGGGAGCTTTTTGAGCCAGGATGAGCCAGGAAAAGGACTTTCACAAGGTAATGTCATCACTTAAGGCAAGGACCGGCCATTTACACTTCTTTTGTGGTGGAATATCATCAGTTAAGGTGGGGCAGGGCATATTCACTTCTTTTGTGATTCTTCAGTTACTTTGGGCCATCTGGGCGTATACATGCAAGTCACAGGGGATGCGATGGCTTGGCTTGGGCTCAGAGGCCTGACAGTATGCACCATATTTTGTTTATCCATTCATTTACCAACTGATATTTGGCTTGCTCCTACATTTTAGCTATGGTGAATAATGCTTCTATCAAACATGGTTGTACGAATATATCTTAAATACCTTCTGTTCAATTATTTTAGATATATACCGAGAAGCAGTATTGCTGGAACATATGGTAACGAAATTTTTAAATGCTTACTTTTTGAGGAACTGCCATACTGTTTTCCACAGTGGCATAACCACTTGACATTCTCTCTGCTACAGGAAAGAGGTCCTGATCCAGACACCAAGTGAAGGTTCTTGGACCTGGCTTAAGAAAGAATTCAGGGTGAGTCCATAAAGTGAAAGCAAGTTTAGTAAAGGAAGGCCGGGCGCTGTGGCTCATGCCTGTAATCCTAGCACTTTGAGAGGCCAAGGAGGGTGGTTCATGAGGTCAGGAGATCGAGACCATCCTGGCTAACAGGGTGAAACGCCATCTCTACTAAAAATACAAAAAATTAGCCGTGCGTGGTGGCGGGCGCCTGTAGTCCCAGCTGCTCGGGAGGCTGAGGCAAGAGAATAGTGTGAACCCAGGAGGCGGGGCTTGCAGTGAGCCAAGATCGCGCCACTGCACTCCAGCCTGGGCAACAGGGCAAGGCTCTGTCTCAAAACAAAACCACAAAAACAAACAAACAATAAAAAAAGAAAAAAGAAAAAAAAGAATAAAAGAATGGCTCTTCCATAGACAGAGCAGCCCCGGGGGCTGCTGGTTGCCATTTTTATGGTTATTTCTTGATGATATGCTAAACAAGGGTTGGATTATTCATGCCTTCTCTTTTTAGACCATAAAGCAACTTCCTATCATTTCAATGGCGTTTGTAAACTGTGTGGATGACCAGAGATCACTCTTGTCACCATCTTGATTTTGGTGGGTTTTAGCCAGCTTCTTTGCTGCAACCTGTTTTATCAGCAAGATCTTTATGACCTGTATCTTGTGCCAACCTCCTATCTCATCCTGTGACTTAGATGCCTTAACCCTCTGGGAATGCAGCCCAGTAGATCACAGTCTTATTCAAGATAGAGTTGCTCTGGTTCACACACCTCTGACATCAACAACAGAGTATAAGGGTTCCAATTTTTCCACATCTTTGCCACCACTTGTTATTTTCTGTTTCTGTTTGTTTGTTTGTTTTGTGAGACTGGGTCTCTCTCTGTCACCCTGTCTGGAGTGCAATGGCATGATCTCGGCTCTCTGCAAACTTTGCCTCATGGGTTCAAGGAATTCTCCTGCCTCAGCCTCCTGAGTAGGTGGGATTACAAGTGCCCACCACCACGTTCAGCTAATTTTTGTATTTTTAGTAGAGATAGGGTTTCACCCTGTTGACCAGGCTGGTCTTGAACTCCTGACTTCAGGTGATCAGCCTGCTTTGGCCTCCCAAAGTGCTGGGTATTTTTTTTTTTTAAATAGTAGCCATCCTAATGGGTGCAAAGTGGCATCTCATTATAATTTTGATTTGCATTTCCCTAATGATTAGTGAGTTTGAGCTTTTCATGTGCTTATTGGCGATTTGAATATCTCCTTTGGAGATGTGTTTATGCAAGTCCTTCACCAGTTTTTGAATTGGGTTTGCTTTTTGTTTTTGTTGAGATTTATGAATTCTCTACATATTGTGGATATTAATCACTTATTAGACACAAAACTTGAAAATGTTTTCTCCCGCTCTGTGGGTTGCTTTTTTACTTTGATGATACAGGTTTTTAATGCACATTTTAAAAAAAACTTAATGACATACCATTTGTCTACTTTTTTTGTTGTCTATGCCTTTGTTGTCACATGTAAAAAAAAAAAAAAAAAAAAAAAAAAAAAAAAAAAACTTGGCCAAATCAGTTGTCCTGAAGAGTTGCTCTATTTTCTCCTAAGTGATTTCTAGTGTTAGGTTTTAGATTTAAGTCTTTAATCCATTGTACATTAATTTTTGTTTACAGTATTAAGTGAGAATCCAACTTCATTCTTTTGCATATGAACATCCTGTTTCCTAACAGCATGTGTTTAAAAGACTGTCCTTTCCCAAAAGAATTGTACTGACACACTTGTCAAAAATGATTTGACCATATATGTGAGGGTTTATGTCTGTAATCTCTATTTTATTAAATTGATCTATATATTTCTCTTTATGCCAGTGCCACATGGTTTGTTAATATTGCTTTGTAGTAAGTTTGTGGCAAGTATGAGTCCTCCACTTTTATTTTCTTTTTCAAGATTATTTGGTATTTTGGGATCCCTTTAGATTCCATATAAATTTTACGACTTTAAAAAAATATTTTCAAAAAGCGTTATTGGGATTTTGATAGGGATCGCATTAAATCTGTAGATTGCTTTGCATAGTATTGGCATCTTAACAGTTGTATCTCTTCTGATCCATGAGCATTGAATGTGTTTTCATATATTTATCTCTTATTCAATTTCTTCCATAAATGTTTTCTAGTTTTCATTGAAGAAGTCTTTCACTTCGTTGGTTAATTTTTGAGTATTTTATTCTTTGATGCTATTGTATATAAATCTATTTTCATAATTTATTTTTCAAGTTACTCATTGTTAGTGTATAGATATGTCAATTATTGTTGTGTTAACTTTGTATCCTGCTCTGCTGAATTCATTTATTAGTTCAAACGGTTTTTGTGTGAAATCTTTAGGAATTTCTAAATATAAGATTATATCATCTGCAAACAAACTTAATTTTATTTTTTCCAATTTAGATGCCTTTTATTTTTTTTCCTTGCTGAGTTGCCCTGACTAGAACTTCCAATACTATCTTGAATGTCAGTGGCAAAATCAGGAATTCATGAGTATAGAGGAAAAGCTTTCAGTCTTGCACCATTTAGTATGATGTTTGCTATGAGTTTTTCACGTGCAGCATTTATTACATTGAGGTAGTTTCCATTTATTCCTAGCTTGTTGAGTGCTTTTGTCATGAAGTGGTGTTAAATTTTGTCAAATGCTTTTTCTGCATCGATTGAGATAATTATGTGGGTTTTTCCATCATTCTAGTAATGTAGTGTATTGCATTGATGAATTTGTATGCTGAAACATCTTTGCATTACAGAAATAAACCCCACTTGGTCATAGTGTAAAATCCTTTAATATGCTGGTGAATTCAGTTTGCTAGTATTTTGTTAAGGACTTTTTTTTTTTTTTTTTGCATCACTGTTTGTAAGGAATATTGGTCTGTGGCTTTCTTTCTTGCTGTGTCTTTGTCTGCCTTCAATATCAAGATAATGCAGACCTCATCAAATCAGTTTGGATGTCTTCCTTCTTCAAGTTTGAGAATTATTGATGCTAGTTTTTTAAATGTTTGGCAGAATTACTCTGTAAAGCCATCATGTCCAGGGCTTTTCTTTGTGATGAGGTTTTGAATACCGACTCATTTTTTTCTTCTTTTTATAGATTTATTGGGGCTTTCTATTCATCTTAATAGGTTTTGTGTTTCTAGAAATTTGTCCTCTTCATCCAGGTTATTCAATTTGTTGGTATAAGTTATTCATAGCATATTATCATAATTCTTTTTATTTCTGTATGATAGATAGTAATATTCCAATTTTCATTTCTAATTTTAGTAATTTCACTCATCTCACTCTGTGTCTCTTTTTTAAAAAAATGTAATTAATTAATTAATTAATTTTAGTCCATCTGGCTAAATGTTCGCCCAATAGTTGCTATTTTCAAGGAACCAACTGTGGTTTCAGTGATATTCTCAATTTTTTTTAATTTTCTATTTTGCTTTGTCAGCTGTAATATATATTATTTCCTTTCTTCCAAGAGCCTTGGGATTAGATTGTTCTTTTTCTAGTCTCTTAAGTTGTAAAGCTAAATTGTTAATTTGACGTCTTTGTTGTTTTTTAATGTAACCATTTACATCTCCATTTTTTTCCCTTAACACTGTCTTTGCAGCAGCCTTTAAATTTTGATATAATGTGTTTTTTGTTTTCATTCATCTCTAAGTATTTTTTAATTTCCCTTGTTATTTCTTCTTTGATAGTTTAAGAATATGTTGTGTGATTTCTGTTAATACAAATTGGTGAATTCTCCAGTTTTACTTTGACTAATGATTTTTAACATAGTTTTGAGGTCAAAGATGAAGCCGTGTATGTTACCTCTCTTTTAAAATGTGTTGAGACTTAATATGTGGCTCTCCATATGGTTTGTCCTGGAAAATGTCTCATGAGCATTCAGGAAAGCGAAACGTGTATGTTCAGTCTGTGTCCTTCAGATCTTGACAGTTCATTGTGTTAAGTCCTCTATTTTCTTACTTCTCTCTGGTTGTTCTATCTATTATCGACAGTGGGGTATCAAGTTGCCAACTACTGCTGTAGAACTGTCTATTTCTTCCTTTAGTTCTATCATTTTTCATTTTGTATATTTAGATGCTCTCTCATTAAGTGCCTAAGGTTTTATTATTGTTGTTACTTGTTGTATTGAACCCTTTATTAACATATAATATACTTCTTTGTCTTTTGTAACCATTTTTTGCTTTTGACAAAGTCAGTGTGTTTTATTTGATATTGGTATAGTTACCCTGCTCTCTTTTGGTTAGTAATAATATAACACACTGAAACCTCCACCTCCTGGGCTCAAAAAATTCTCATGCCTCAGCTATCCAAGTAGCTGGCATTACAGGTGTGCGCCACCACCCCAAGTTAATGTAATGTAATACCTTTTTCTATCCTTTTGCATTGAATCATTGTGTCTTTAGATCTAAAGTGAGTCTTATAGACAGCATATAGTTGCATCATATTATGTTATCCATTCTGCTAGTCTCACTTTGTCACCCAGGCTGGACAGGTGTGTAGTGGCACAATCTCAGCTCATTGCAATCTCTGCCCCGCAGGTTCAAGAAATTCTTTTGCCTCAGCTTCCCGAGTAGCTGGGATTATAGTCATGCACCACTACACCTGGTTAATTTTTGCATTTTTAGTAGAGACGGGGTTTCACCATGTTGGCCAGGCTGGTTTCAAACTCCTGACCTCAAGTGATAAACCTGCCTCGGCCTCCCAAAGTGCTGGGATTACAGGTGTGAGCCACTGCACCCAAACTCTTTCTCATTTCCTTTTCCTGAATATACTGTATAACTATTTTATTTGTGCTTACGATTTACAAATTTGTGAATATATTTAACATTCTAGAGTTATCACTCTATCTCAAATGTATACAAGCTTAACTTCAATGACATACAACAACTTTGGTCTTTTGTCTGGTCTGCTCTGTCCCCCACCTTTTCAGTTGTTGATGTCACCCAAAACATAAACTAAGAATAGTTTTAAATGCATAAGTCACTTAAATTATGTAGAAAACAAAATATGGAGTTAAAATTTATAATCCTACTAGAATTTAAAGTACTTATTTTTTTAAAGTATTCATTTTTTTTTTAAATCTTTTATTTTGAGACAGAGTCTCACTATGTTGCCCAGGCTGGAGTGAAGTGGCATGATATCGGCTCACTGCAACCTCTGCCTCCTAGGTCAAGCAATTATCGTGCCATGGCCTCCTAAGTAGCTGGGATTACAGGCACCCGCCACCACGCCCAGCTAATTTTTGCATTTTTAGTAGAAATGGGGTTTTGCCATGTTGCCCAGGCTCGTCACTAACCCCCTTCTCAAGTGACCTGCCTGCCCCAGCCTCCCAAAATGCTGGGATTATGGGTGTGAGCCACTGCACCCATCTGTATCAGTCTTTTAAATCATGTAGAAAACAAGAAGTGATGTTACAAACTATTGTTAAAATAATGTTGCTTTTATATTTGCCCATGTATTTACCTCTATTGAAATTTTTTACTTCTTTTTATGGCTTCTAGTCACTTTCTAGTGTCCTTTAATTTTATCCTGCAGGACTCTCTTAAGCATTCCTCTCGGGGAAGGCCTGGTAGTAACAAATGGCCTCAGCTTTTGCTTATCTGGAAATGTCTTAATATCTTTTTTACCTATGAAGGGCACAGTTTTTCATTCATACATCATAATTGTACATTTTTTATGGGATACATGTGATATTTTGATACATGCATTCAAAGTATTGTGATAAAACCTGGGTATTTAGGATATCTATCATCTCAAACATTTATTATTTCTTTGTGTTTACAGCATTCCAAATCTTCTCTTCCAGCTATTTTAAAATACACAAGAAATTATTGTTAACTTTTGTCACCCTACTGTGCTGTTGAACACTTTTCTAACTGTATTTTTGGACCCATTAAACAATTCTCTTTATTACTCCTCCTTCCTATTCTTTGCAACTGCTGGTAACCATCATTATACTCTCTACCTTCGTGAGATAATTTTTTTTTAATTCCCACATATGAATGAGAACATGCGATATTCATCTTTCAATGCCTGGCTTATTTCATTTACATAATGCCCACCAGTTCTATGTTGCTACAAATAACAGCATTTCTGTCTTTTCTACGGCTGAATAATATTTCATTTTATATATATAAAAAAAAAATTTCTTTATTCATTCAACTGTTGATGAACACAAGCGGCTTCCACATCTTGGCTATTATAAATAGTGCTGTAATAAACATGGAAGTACAGATGTCTCTCTAATATACTGATTTCCTTTCTTTTGGATATATACCCAGCAGTTAGACTGTTGAATTTTATGGTGATTAATTTTTTTTAATTTTTGAGGAAGCTTCATGCTATTTTCCATTGTGGTGTACTAATTTACAATCCCACCAATGACATATGAGCATTCTTTTTTCTCTTCATTCTTGCCAACATTTCTTATTTTCTGTTGTTTTGATAATAGCTATTCTAACTGGGATTACATGATATGTCATTAAGGTTTTGATTTGCATGTCCCTAATGATTAGTAATGTTGAATATTGTTTAATATATCTTTTGTCCATTTGCATGTCTTCTTTTGTAAAATGTATTTTCAGGTAATTTGTGCATTTTAAAGTTTTTTTAAATTTTTATTTATTTATTTAATTTTTTGCTGTTGAGTTGTTTGAGTTCCTTGTATATTCTGGTTATGAAGCCTTTGTCAGATAGATAATTTGCAAACTTTTTGTCCCACTCTGTAGATTGTCTCTTCATCCTGTTGATTGCTTCCTTTGTTGTGTAGAAACTTTTTAGCTTGAAGTAATCCCATTTGCCTATTTTTGCTATTGTTGCTTATGCTTTTCAGGTGTTATAAAAAATATTTGCCCATACTAATGTTTTGAAATGTTTCCCCAAAGTTTCCCTCTAGTAGTTTCCCATTTGCAAGACTTACACTTAGGTCTTTAATCCATTTTCTATTTGGTTTTTGTATATAGCAAGAACTAGGAGTCTAGTTTCTTTTGCATATGCTAGCACTATTTATTGAAGAGACTGTTCTTTCCCCAATATATGTTCTGGGAACCTTTGTCACAAATGAGTTGGCAGTAAGTGTGTGTATTTATTTCTGAATTAACTGTTCTGTTCCATTGGTCTGTATGTCTACTTTTATGCCAATAACATGCTGTTTTAGTTACTATAGCTTTGTAGTATACTTTGAAGTCTGATAAGCTGATGCCTCTAACTTTGTTCTTCCTCAGGATTGATTTGGCCATTTGATGACTTTTGTAATTCCATACAAATTTTAGAGTTACTTATTTTATTTATGTGAAAAATGCCATTGGCATTTTAATAGGGTCTTCACTCAATCTGTAAATCACTTTGGGTTGTGTGGACATTTCAACAATATTAATTCTTTCACTCCATGAGCATAAGATATTTTTCTATTTTTTAATTTCCCTTTTAATTTCTTTCATCAGTGCTTAATAGTTTTTCTTGCACAGATCTTTCACTTCTTTTATTAATTTTTTTCTTAGGTATTTTATTATTTTCAATAGCTATTGTAAACGAGATTGCTTTCTTGATTTATTTTTCAGATTCTTTACTGTTGGTGTATAGAAATGTGATTGATGTTTGTATTTCTTTACTATCTGCAACTTTACTAAATTCGTTTATCAGTCTTTAGGTTTTTCTAAATGTAGGATCATGTTGCCTGTGAACAAGGCTAATATGACTTCTTTCTTTCCAATTTTGATGTTCTTTTTCTTCCCCCTAGCCCAAGTGCTCTGGCTAGAACATCCAATAATATGTTGAATAAAAGTAGTGAAAGTGGGCATCCTTGTCTTCTTTCAGATCCCAGCAGAAAGGCTTTCAATTTTTCCCTGTCTAGTATGATGTTAGCTGTGGGTTTGTCATATGTGGTTTTATTGTTTTAAGGTATGTTCCTACTATACTTAGTATACTGGGAGTTTTTATCATAAATAGATATTGAATTTTATTAAATGTACATGATTGTGTTCATGTTATCCATCACATTTATTGGTTTTGGGTATGTTGAACTATTCTTCCATCATTGGAATGAATCCCACTTTATCCTGATGAATAAACTTTTAATGTATTGGTGCATTCTGTTTGTTAATATTTTATTGATAATTTTTGCTTTTATGTTCATCAGTGATATTGGGTTGTTTTTCTGTTGTGTTCTTGTCTGGTTTTGGTATCATGGCAAATCTGGCCTCATAGAATGAGTTTAGAAATATTCTCTCCCCTGAAATTTTCTGAAATAGTTTCAGTATAATTAACACCAGATATTCTCTAAATATTTGGTAGAGTTTAGCAGTCACCTCTGGTCTTTTTATATAAGACTTTTTATTACTGCTTCAATGTTGTTACTCTTTATTAGTCCGCTCAGATTTTCTGTTTCCTCATGATTCAATCTTGATAGGTCATATGTGTTCAGGAATTTATTTTTTCTAGGCTTTCAAATTTGTTGGCATATAGTCGTTCATAATAGACTCTAATAGTCCTTTGCATTTCTATAGTATCAGTTGTAATGTCTCTTTTTTCTTATTTAGTTCCAGCTAAAGGTTTGTTTATTTTGTTTATTTTTTTTCAAATACCAACTTTTTGATTTGATGGGGTTTTTTTTTTTATTTTTTAGCCTCAATTTTATTTATTTCTTCTATAATATTTGTTTCTTTCAGTCTTATTCATTTTGAGTTTAGTTGGTTTTTGCTGTTCTGGTTCCTTTGGGTGTATCATTAGGTTGTTTATGTGAAGTCTTTCTACTTTTTTGATGTGCGTATTTATTTCTATAAACTTTCCTTTTAGAACTGCTTTTGCTGTATCCTATATGTTTGGATACGCTGTGTTTCGATTTTTATTTTTCTCAACAAGTTTCTAATTTCTTCATTGACCTAATTATTGTTCAGTAACATATTATTTAATTTAATTTCTATGGATTTGTACCGTTTCCAATGTTCCTTCTGTTACTGGTTTCCAGTTTTATTTTGTTGTGGTCAGAAAAGATGTTTGATATTATTTTAATTTAAAAAAATTGTTAAGACTTATCTTGTGACCTAACATATGGTTTATTCTGGAAAATGTCCTATGTGCTATTGAGAAAAACATGTATTCTGTAGTTGTTGGATGGAATATTTATAAAAGTCTATTAGGTCCATTTGATCTACAGAGAAGTTTAACTCCAATGTTTCTTCATTGATTTGCTGTCTGAATTATCTGTCTATGACTGACAGTGGGATGTTGAGTTTTATACTCTTGCTATATTGACCCCTTTATTATTCTATTATGCCCTTCTTTTACTTTTAACTGTTCTTCACTTAAAGTCTATTTTGTCTGATATAAATATAGCTGGTTCTACTCTTTTTTCCCTCCTTTCATATTCAGTCTGTGCATGTCTTTAGAGGTGAAGTGAGTACTTTAGGCAGCGTATAGATGGGTCTTGTCTTTTTATCTATTCAATCACTCTATGTCTTTTAATAGGATAATTTAATTCATTTACATTCAAGGTTATTATGGGTAGATTAAGTGTTACTACTGCCATTTTCCTCCCTGTTTTCTGGTTGCTTTATAATTCTTTCTTTCTTCCTTTCTTATTGTCTTCCTTTGTGATTAAGTGATTTTTTTTCTAGTGGTACTTTTTGATTCTGTGCTATTTATTTTAGGTCTATCTATTGTAGGTTTCTGTTTTGTGGTTACCATGAAGTTTACAAAAAAAACCTTACAGTTATAACACATTATATTAAACTGATAACTTCTTAACTTTTATGGCAAAGAAAAGTTACATAAAGTCTACCTTAATTTTCTGTAGTCTGAATATTGTTTGTCTAGGTATAGTTATTTGTTTGTGTGTTTGTGTTTTAATTGTAGTTGTTTCTTAGCTTTCTGTAACTGTGATTTGGTCTGTTATTACCTTTGAATTGTTCTCTGACATTGTTACTTCAAATATTTCTTCCTTTTCATTTCCTCTTTCTTATTTTTCTGGCATCCTAACTAGGTGCATGTTATGTCTTTTGGAAATTTTTTACAGGTCTTGGATGATCTCTTCTGCATTTTTTTACCTCTGCGTTTTAAAATGAGAAGTTTTTATTGATTTATCTTAAGCTCGGTGATGCTTTCCTCAGCAGTGTCACATGTACTTGTGAGTCCATCCAGTCATTCTTCACTATTATTATAATGTTTTTCATTTCCAATATTTATTTGTGATTCTTTTTTAGAACTTTCATCTCTCTTCTTATATTACCTATCTGTTCTTACATGTTGCCTACTTTAATCACTAGAGTCCTTAACATATCATCACAGTTATTGCAAATTCCCTACTTGGTAATTTCAACATTGGTGTCATATCTGAGTCTGGTTCTGATGCTTGCTTTGCATCTTCATACTTTTTTGCCCTTGATTTTCTGTATTTATTGTAATTTTTTGTTGAAAGTTGAACATGTGGTATTGGATAAGAGTAACCGAAAAAAAATCCTCTACTGTGAGAAATTGCATGTATTTGAATAGGAGCCTGAATTTTTTTAATGATTACCATAGCTACAGATGCCTGATACTTCAAATCCCTACAGTGTCCTTGTTTAATCTCCCCTCTTGACTTTGGGTTTCTCTATGGACATCTTCTCAGACAGAGTATACATCTTGCAGGTCCTTTGCCTACAATCCAATATCATTACAGTGAAACTCTATTGGTGTTGTGGTAGAGTATGGAATGAAGGAGGAACATTCTATAATCTTATGATTAAGTCTCATTTAGTGAGTTTGTGTCTTTGGCCTCTGAACTTTGCAGCTGTTCTTCTTATGTTGTTTTGCTTCCCTCCCAGTTAGGTAAGACAAGAAGCCTGTAGAGGCCTGGAGTGGGAAAAATGCTTTTTATGCAGCTGTGTAAGGCTCTGGTAAAGAACTGGAGAGGAGGCTTTTGTTAATGGAGAAGGCTCTGGGCATATTCCAGAAGAATCGCTCCCCCCACACCCACCCACTTGTCAAAGCCATGAGAAGATCTTTCTTAGATCCTCACAAGAAGTAACTGGTGGGGCTCCTGGAAGTAAAACCCATGCTAGTTGGTAGTTGAGCATGAGATTATTCGTTCTCATGCTAGATCACACTCAACCACCAGCAGTTAACCAAATTACTAGGTAAGTGTTCCTACTAGAATGGCTGTAGCAGCTACTACCTTCAGGCAGCAGACCTTGCATGTAACTATCTGGATTTTCCTTTCCAGGTTTACTGGGAATGTACATATGTGCTTTTTGAGTGTTATTTTCTGAGTGTTATGATTAACTTCCCTTTTTGAGTTAGTGACAAGAACATATTCTTTGATAGTTTATTTTTTCCTTTGTAATGACAAACACATAAGGAAAACTTGATGCTTAACTAGGGATTATCTGAAATAAGTGCACTTTGCTTTGAGTAACACTAATTAATTAATGTTTTATACTAATGTTAAACATTAAATATGTTTTTATACGAATCATGTAATTAAGATTAAAATCCCAATGAGTATATTAAACAATTATGTTGGAAAAATTTGAACTTCTTTCTCTAGGATAGCAGAGTGCAGTAATTTTAATAAATCATATGCTTGTGTGTTTATATGCTCATGTATACACAGCCCTACATAGTACAAATGTAAATTTGTCTTCAAACTAAAATCTCTATTTACCACACTTTAGGGAAATATTTTTATCAAATTTAATTATTTAATTTTTTAGATCTTTACTCTGGAAAAGACATATAAAAGAAACACTGAGAAGTAGCCTCATTTTCTTTTTAGTAACTACCTGATTAATTTTATAAATTTATGAAAATTAGCATTAGTACACATTTTAGTAACAGGAAATAAGTATACTATTTGACTCAAATAGGATTTGCAGGTAAAAATACAGACTTATTAATGAAAACCTGTTCTTATCTAATTTTAAGTAATCTGTTGGTTGGATAAATTTGATTTTCAGAAACCTTGACCTTGTTGATAATGGGTAGTGAGCAGATTTTAGATCATGTAGTTAGTTTTGCATGTATTACACACCCATCTGCTTCTCCATCTGGCAGCAGACACAGAAGTGTTATGTACATTCTTCTCACCAACACCCCAATTGTTAGCTTCCTGCTGATAGCCCCAGTATAAGCTTCATTGGGTAATTATTTCAGGCAGAAAACAACCAACCCACATGTTCAAGAATAATTACTAGTTCAATTAACTAACCAAAAACAGGTGATATTTTAGTGTCCAGGAGTAGAAACAATTTCAATTTCTGCAGCACTTCAATAAAAATATTTAGATAGCAGATGTGCTTTTTAGTACCTTGAGAGTATGAAAAAATAACAATAAACATGACGTATATACCAACATAAGTTGACAGTAAATTATGAATCATTTTTTAAAACTTATTATTCCACATTAGCCATTTAACTTTAAAATAATATAAACACACAAAAAATCTACCAACATGATATGCTATCCAACACATTTTTAAAGTCTGTATTTGAAAACCTTTTTGTAGCACTGACAGACATGATCAATATCAATGTTGTATATAATCATATTTGTATATGATTGTATTATAAAATTGTATGCTATTTACTTTATTGTCTGAATTTCAATATAAGAAATCTATAAACATCATGCATATTTATTAGCATATTTTAATACGATTTTAAAAGACACGCTCTAATATACATACATGAGTATTCATTTATAATATATTTTATACACCAGCATTATTCTCAGTTTTAATTGAAAATATACATTTTTGAATATAATACTGATAGTGTTGCTAATTTTTTCATTTAAAAACTGTATGATCTTTTTAACCTGTATAATCTTTTCAGGAACTCAAATAATAGGTCTAATATAATTTGTTTTAAATGTAAGATTTAATTGAAAATTTAAAGAAACAATTCTACTAAATAGAAAATATGATATAATGAAGCACAAAATGTTGAGTCTTGGGAGTGCGAGGCGGGCGGATGGCCTGAGGGCAGGAGTTCAAATACAAAATTTAGCTGGGAGAGATGGCAGGCACCTGTAATCCCAGCTACTGGGGAGGCTGAGACAGGAGAATCACTTGAACTGGGGAGGCAGAGGTTGCAGTGAGCTGAGATCGTGCCATTGCACTCCAGCCTGTGCGACAAGAGCAAGACTTCGTCTCAAAAAAAAAAAGTTGAGTCATATTTATGTCTCCAGGAAATATAGTCAAATACACACACAGACACACATAGACACAGACACACATACACACACACACACACACACACAGAGGCAACTAATGAATATGCACATCTTCAATTGTCCCTATTGGTAACTATATAAAAATATTTAATATAATTAATTTTACTTAATTTATCTTATATTGTGAAACCATAATACACAAAGAAACTGGTCACTGCTGTGATATTGAAGTAAGGTTTTATCATAGCATCAATATAGGAAGAGGTGAAGACCAATAAAGTCCATAGTTAACAATGTATCGGACCAGTATATTGAATTTTACATTCTCTTCAATATGTGCTCCTAACAAATTAAGAAAAAAGTTATAAGTAAAATTAGAAAACCACTTAGCCCCAACAAATTATTGCAGTAATTTTATCATAATTTTTATTTGATGAATGTAATCTATACTTATTATAGAAAATATAGAAAACACCTCAAAATATATAGAGAAAATATCACTATCTCAAAATATAATCTATCTTCTATCTTTTATATTATTATCAGTTCTTTGTTTTAATATTTTAACCTAATCTCATTTCATTTAACTTTACTTTTGAATATTTTGGCATGCTAATGAATCTCATTTATAACAAGATTTTCAAGAAATATTTATAAACCCATAAATGTAATTATTTCATTTTATCCCATAATTATTTTTGAATGTCTTTGTTTTAAATATTTAAATTCAATCTAAAATCTTACTGATATATATAATACTAAATATATGCATAGTTTAAAGCTTTCTGAATATCTCTAATCATTCCTTTGTAGCAATAAGTGTAATTTTATCAGTTCAAATAGCTTCCAATATTTTGTATCACTTTTGTTACGTTCTGCCCAACATCCTTCTAGAAATACTATGACAACCAACAAAATCTCCAGCACTCTATCAATATGACCTTTTCATCAAATATTCTGCAAGTATATATCATGTTATATTTTTGATCAATTTAATTTTTTTGTTTCTAAAAATAAGGAAGTAGAACTAGATAAATAAATTAATGGCTTATTATGGGATATGCAATTTAAAACCAATAAAATTCCTGAAGTAGGAATGGAGAAAGAGGCAATCTCTAGCACTATTCCATCCAAGTGGTTTTGCATCCACCACACAGGAATAATAGAGAATCTATAATATGGACTGAAAGGAAGATGCTACTTCTCCTATAGAAGAAAGATAATTTGTATAATCTCATTAGTAACTGGAAGTTGAAATAAATTTCCCTGCCTAGCAGTAGGTCTGAAAAGAGGATTTGTTGACTGCACAACTAGACAAAGTATATAACCAAATTTAATCTTCAATACATCTGCTGGTTTTCACATGATAACTGATGTTGCCGTTTATAATTCAAAAATAAAATGGGAAAATGGGACCTCACATGCCATAAATGAAACAGCACATAATTTTTGAGACTCAAGTAAATCATATTATTGAAAATAACTTACTGCAGAAATCAGAAGAAAGTTTAGAAAAGGTTCACATTTCCAATAATAGAAGATCTCCGTAAAACTGGAGCTTGTGGCCAGGCAGTGTGGCTCATGTCTGTAATCCCAGCACTTTGGAAGGCCGAGGTGGGTGGATCAGCTGAGGTTAGGAGTTTGAGGCCAGCCTGGCCAACATGGTGAAACCCCATCTCTACTAAAAATACGAAAATTAGCTGGGCGTTGTGGCGAATGACTGTAATCCCAGCTGCTTGGAAGGTTGAGGCAGGAGAATTGTTTGAACTCAGGAGGCAGAGGTTGCAGTGAGCCAAGATCACACCAATGCCCTCCAGCCTGGATGACAAGAGCAAAACTCCATCTCAAAACAAACAAAGAAACAAAAACAAAAAACAAACAAACAAAAAAACTGGAGCTTGTGATTTTAAGATATGCAACTGAAATGGAGATCATTACAAGCCGACGAAATAAATTGTCACATGCTGTCAGTTTTCAGTATTCGGGTATCTAAAACAAAAGAGGTTTAAATTATGCTTGGAGAATACAGCAGTCCAAAAGTAGGAAATCATGTTTGTATAATAGAAGATACTATGGTATTCTCAGAATATGGATAATTAATAAACACAGAGATAAAACAATAAATGATTGCAATTATTAAGATTGAGGAAGGGAGTAGAAAGTAAACATGGAGATAATTGGTTTCTGTGAAATAGACCCTCAAATAGATGAAACAGATGGGCGTTGACACAGACAATGAGAAATAAAATGTCATAACATTCATCTGAACTAAATAACAATTCTTGTATAGTGCTTGAGTTTACCAAATTTTTTTGGCGTGCAATTTCATCGGCTCAAATAGCCTCTAACATTCTGTATCGCTTTTGTTCAAACATTCTGCCAAACATCTTTCCAGAAATACTGTGACAACCAAAAAATTATCCAGCACTATCAACATGCCCTTTTCATCAAATATTCTAAGTATTTATTTATTCTAACATTTTCATCTAATATTCTAAGTAATATTGAAATATTTTAAGTAAATAAAACTAGAAATCCTCACAAAAAATAGTTTAAGCGATGCATGGTGGCTCACACCTGTAAACTCAGCAATTTTGGAGGCTGAGGTGAGCAGACTGCTTGAGCCCAGGAGTTCGAGACCAGCCTGGGCAATATGGTGAAACCCTGTCTATACAAAAAATACAAAAATTAGTGAAATATGGTGCTGCATGCCTGCAATTCTAACTACTCAGGAGGCTGAGGTAGTAGGCTCACTTGAGCTTGGGAGGTGGAGGTTGTAGTGAGCCGAGATTGTGCTGCTGCATTCCAGCCTCAATGACTGAGTGACACATTGTCTCTAAAAGAATAAATAAACAAAAATAAAGTTTTAAAAATTATTAAAAATTATGTTGTTATTTAATATGTTTACTGAAATACTAAATACTACAATACTAAAGCTTTACATGGATAAGACTGTTCAAATATAAGTTTTGAATTATAAAATTTTATACCCAGCAAAATTAACTTTTTTTGTGAAGACAAATGGAAGATATGAGATCTAAAGTATTTCAAGTATTCCTACTATTGAATGAAGGCTTCCTAAGCATTTTGAAATCTTTATCAAAGAAATTCTTGGAAATATTAAAACCAATTGATGATTATGCTTAAATTATATGTAAAATTTAATGTATGAGAATTATTAGAAAATATAATATAATACAACATAATACATTTTAAAATTTCTTAATAATTTATTGACAAAGACTGAGAATTGAGTAGAGAAAGTGGATAGAGAAAAGAAAAATATTTTCATATTCCCTTGTCTCAAGTGGTTGGTTTTAGGGTGATATGGATTAAAAATACAGCATTCTACTGAATTATAAAAATTAATAACCCCATAAAAATGGAAGAAATGGAAAATAGATATGATAATAATATTAGTAATAATATAAAGATGACAAAAGCAAAACTACATGTCCTATAGCAATAATCATGAATGGGCTATACATCCTAAATTTAAAAGAGTTACAAGCAATTTTAAATACTATAGGGTTGTAATAAAACATTAAAAGTCCAAGGCAGGCAGATCACCTGAGGTTGGGAGTTCGAGACCAGCCTAACCAACATGGAGAAACCCCGTCTCTACTAAAAACACAAAATTAGCCGGGCGTGGTGGCAGATGCCTGTAATCCCAGCTACTCGGGAGGCTGAGGCAGGAGAATCACTTGAACCTGGGTGGCGGAGGTTGCAGTGAGCCAAGATTGTGCCATTGCACTCCAGCCTGGGCAACAAGAGTGAAACTCCATCCCCCCCAAACAAACAAACAAACAAAAACAAACAAGAAACATTAAAAAGCATCATATAGAATTATAAAAGAATAACTAAGTATACATCATTAATACATAAAGGAAGTAGGTTTATCATATTAATATAAAAGTGTGAGGTGCTATGATACAAAATAATAGTAAATATTTAAAGCTTTTTTTAGTAATAATGTATTGCAAAACACAAGTGTCATGAAATCACTTTGCAGTTATGCATGCTTTTTTGAAGAACCTAAATAACAACTTCACAGATTGACCAGCATCAAAGCATATAACCAGTATGTCATCTTGGAGTTTGATTTGTTGCCTCAATGACATCAGAAATAACTTTGTAGTTTTGATAAGTTTTTCTTTCTATTTCTGACATTTATTGCATCAACAAAGCACCCAAATTTAAGACCCAGAACACTAAGTGAGTTTTGTTGTTGTTGTTATTTTTTTTTTCCTCTCTGTAAAATTCAGCTACTCCTGGGACATGATATAAATACTCTCATTGGAAGGTACACGTCCCAATTTTTGCAGGTATTGAAAGTATCAGTTGACCAATGAGAACTCAGGCAAGCCAAAAGGCAAAAAAAAAACCCAATTTTTAAAAAAATTTTGAAATTTCTTTTAAATATCTTTTTTTATTAGAGACACAGTCTCACTCTGTCACCCAGGCCACAGTGCAGTGGTGTGATCATAACTCACTACAGCCTCAAACTCCTGAGCTCACGCAATTCTCCCAACTCAGCCTCTGTAGTTGATGGAACTATGGGTGGGCACCACCACACCTGGCTAATTTATTAACATTTTTGTAGAGACAGGGCCTCAATTTTTTGCCCCGGCTGGTCTCAAATTCCTGGCTTCAAGTGATCCTCCCACCTCGACCTCCGAAAGTGCTGGAATTACAGGTGTGAGCCACTGTGCCTGGGCAGAAAGATTCTTGATTTACATTGAAGGGGCCTGATTAAAATATTATCAATATTCCAACTATTCAATTAGAATGGCTGTGCCTCTTTTTTTTTTTTTTTTTTTTTTGAGACGGAGTCTCGCTCTGTCGCCCAGGCTGGACTGCAGACTGCAGTGGCGCAATCTCGGCTCACTGCAAGCTCTGCTTCCCGGGTTCACGCCATTCTCCTGCCTCAGCCTCCCGAGTAGCTGGGACTACAGGCGCCCGCCACCGTGCCTGGCTAATATGGCTGTGCCTCTTGCTTCACCTTAATTACAGATATCTATCTGATTAGACTATGATAACCACATGCCTGTGTATACAGTGCTTGTACGTGTGTGATTTTGAACACGAATATATTGAACAACAGAATTCAATTCTAACAGCACCTTTTTTCTTAATCTTTTTTGTTATATACTTTCTTTACCTGACACAGGCAAAAATCTATTTTAAAGTGAAAAATTAGGTAAGTTTATAATGATGAAGTATACAGTGAATAATGAAGGTATAACTGTCACAAATCTCTGTATTCTAAGTAACAGTTTTGGAAAATATATGATATCCAACATGTGAACAAATTATAGAAAACATAATAAGCTAAATAGGAACAATTATTTTCTGACTACATCCAAATAAATAGGCAAAGTAAACACACAGAGGCATGCCACTGAACCTGATTGAATTTATGGTTATTTATTTATGGGTAATTAAAGTTAATTTTAGAGTTGTAGATTTAGCTAGGGTTGGGAACAAATCCCAGTTCTATGACCTGCTCATGGCGAGACATTGATCGCGTGACTTTGTCTTTCTGAGCCTCAGTTTTCTTATTTATAAAATGGAGATCATATTTATCTTCAAGAATTGCTCTGAGCATGAATTGCATATATAAAAATCATGACACTTTATAAAGTGACATAATATTATAGTATGTGCAATAGACCGAATGTCTGCATTCCCTCAAAATTTGTATGTTCAAATCCTAATACTCTAGGTGTTGGTTTTGGGTTGTAGAGCCTTTGGAAGGTGATTAGGTTATGAGGGTGGAGTGCTCATGAATGAAATTCATCCCCTTATAATAGAGATTCAAGAGAGATCTCCTGACCTTTCTGTCATGTGAGGCTGCAATGAGAAGATGGCCATCTATGAGGAAGTGATTGCTCACCAAACACCAAATCTGCTGACACCTTGATCTTGGACTTCCCAGTCACCAGACTATGAGAAATAGATTTTTGTAATTTATAAGCTACCCAATTTATGGTGTAGCAGTCTGAATGGACTAAGACAGTGTGATATCTATGTGTGCCTATTTTAAAGTGTGCTTAGATACCTTGGTAAATAGTAAAATACAAATTTATTAAAAATTATGAATAAAAACATGTAATTTTTATTTAGTATATGCAAAATAATTCAAACAAATTGAACACATTCAAAAATTTATTGTTCAGTGCCTAGTAAACATGTATTAGGCATCAAATTTGAACTACTCTTACATTTCACATGGCTGAAAAGCCACGAATCATCTTTGCATCACCATTTAGCCGAGTTCATCCACAGGGAGGGCTGGCTGAGAGTTTCATGTTCCTCTTTGATTGGTGAAAGGTGAAACCCTTTTGTTCACCCAGTAAACCCTGTTGGAGGCAGATAAGGGAAAATAAAATTTCAGCTGTCATTTCCAGGCTCCCATAGAAGACAAAGTTGACTCTGCAAGTTGTTTTCAATTCAGTGATAAGGCTATAAGTCTTTGAGTCTGCGTGTGTGTGTGTGTGTGTGTGTGTAAAGAACATAGTGATGGGTTATAAATTGCCACACACTGAAGGGTTTTCCCGCAGCTTTAGAAAGTCTTTATGAGTACCATTTTGCAGGAAAATGAGGTTTCCCTCTCACATACATAGTGCAGGCTAGAAGTTATTAATTTTATGGATATATTCAAAGGAACTGGGGAGGGCTTTTTCTTGAAATACCAGCTTACCTTGGAATAGTAGTTCCCCCGGACCCCCAGAATATCATATCATTGACATCTTTATGAGGATGAGTCAAGAACTTCACAGTCCTGAGGAAATGAAGGTATGAGCCATGACTGCCATCTCCAGCATCAACAGGATGTCTTACAAAAATGCTGGGATAAATTGGCATATGCTGCTTGACACAGGGCTCTATTTGTAGCTTGGGTTGTATATCGAGCACTTGTAAGATTGTAGAAATTATTGTGATTGTTCCTTTATGACTGCGGTTTTGACTACATATTCATGTATAATCCAGTTGTCAAAGAATATTTTTTAAAGCAGCTTTATTGAAATGTAGTTCACAGGACACATAATTTACACATTTAAGATACAGAATTTAATGGTTTTTAGTATATTCACAGATACAGACATTTCCCAACTTTCAATGAACTTACAACTTTTCAACTTCACTATGGTGTGAAAGCGATATGTATTCAGTGGAAACCATACTTTACATAGCCATACAACCGTTCTTTGTTTTATTCTCACTACAGCACTCAATAAATTATATGAAATATTCAACACTTCATTATAAAATAGGATTTGTGTTAGATAACTTTGCCCAACTTTAGGCTAATGTAAGTTTTCTGAGCACATTTAAAGTAGGAGAGGCTAAGTTATAATATTCTGGTAGTTTAGGCATACTAAATGCATTTTTGACATGCAGTATTTTAAACATATGATGAGTTTATTAAAGCATAACCTCATTGCAAGTTGAAGAGTATGTATATTTGCAAGCAATTTTAGAACATTTTTATCACTACAAAAAGAAACTTGGTACACATTAGCTATCACCACTCTGTGATCCTTCTCTTCCCTTCAACCCTAGGCAACCACTCACCTACTTTTTGTTTCTATGGGCTTCCTTGTTTTGGACATTTTATATTAATGGAATTATCTGTGTAGTCACATGTGACTGACTTCTTTCACTTAGCATGATGTTTTCAGGGTTCACCCTGTTACAGTATACATCCAACACTTCATTCCCATTACATGGTTCAGGCTGGTCTGCAACTCTTGGCCTCAAGTGATTCTTGGACCTTATCCTCCCTCATTTCATTTTATAATTGGATAATGTTACTTTATATGTATATACCACATTTTGTTTATTCATTCATCAGTTGATGGGCATTTGAATTGTTTACACCTTTTAACTATTATGAATAATGTTGCTGCAAATGATTTTGTGCAAGTTTCTTTGTAAGTGTAGTTTTCATTTCTCCAAGTGTATATACCTAGGAGTGGGATTGCTGGGCCATATGGAAAATCTTTATGTAATCACATAAGGAACCGTCAGATTAGTTTTCAAAGAGGCTATACCATTTTACGTTTCCACCAGCACTATATGAGGGTTCTGATTTCTCCACTTCCTTCACAGCATTTATTATCTGATTTTTTAATTCTAGCTTTCGTAGTGGGTATAAGGTGGTATTTCATTATAGTTTTGACTTAATTTACCTGATAACGAATTAAATTTAGTATCTTTTCATTTGCCTGTTGGATATTTGTAATCTTACTGAAAGAAATGTTAGTTAACATCATCTACCCATTTAAAAAAATTGAGTTATTTGTATCTATGTTATTGAGTTGTAAGTTGTCTTTATATATTCTGGAAACAAGCCTTTTATCAGATATGTAACTTGTAGATATTTTATCCCATTACATAGGTTGTCTTTTCACTTTCTTGATGGTGTCCTTTGAAACATAAAAGTTTTTAATATTGATGAAGTCTAGTTTATCTCTTTGTTGTTGTTGTTGCTAATGCTTGTTGTGTTGTATCTAATAATCACTTACCAAGTATAAGGTCAAAAAATTGACCCTTATAGTTTCTTCTAAGCATTGTGTAGTTTTCACTCCTACATTTAAATTTATTTTGAGTTAATTTTTTATATAGTGTGAGATAAGGGTTTACCTTTATTCTTTTGCATGTGATGATCCAGATGTCCCAGGACAGTTTGTTAAAATTATCATTCTTTCACCATTACACAGTTTTGGTAAAGTTCTAGAAAATCAATAACTGTAGATCTATGGGTTTATTTTTGGACTCTTAATTTTATCTCATGGCTTATACATTTATCATTTTGCTAATATCACACTATCTTGATTATTGTTGCTTTGTAGTGAGTTTCAAAATTGGGAAATATGAGTCCGCCTACTTTACTTTTCTTTTTCAAGATGTTTTTGGCTATTCTGGGTTCCATTTAATATTTAATTTTATATAAATTTTAGATTAATCTTACCAACTCTACAAGTAGTCTGAAAATCTGATATGGACTGCATAGAATCTGTAGGGAAATTTGGTAACTATTTCCATCTTAACAATGTTAAATCTTATAGAACATGAAGATGTAATTTTTAAAAATTCTTTATTTAATTTATTTCAACATTGTTTTGTAGTTTTCAGAGTACATTTTACAGTAATTTTATTAAATTTATTCAAGTATTTTATTATTTTTGGTGCAACTGTAAATGAAATTGTTTTTTAATTTCATTTTTAAATTGCTTTTGAAAGTATATATAAATGCAATTAATTTTACATATTTATCGTGTGTCCTGCAAACTTGCTGAATTTGTTTATTAGTTCCAATAATTTTACTCAGTTCTTTAGATTTTTCTATATGTAGGATCATGTCATCTGGGAATAGAGATAGTCTTTCTAGTTTCTTTCCAATATCAATGCTTTTAGTTTATTTTTCTGGCTTAATTGCTCTCAGTAGTACTTCTAGTTCAACACTGAATAGAAATGGTGAGAACAGATATCCCTCTTTTAATCCTTATCTTAGGGAAAAAGCATACAGTTCCTCACCATTATTTGTAAATTAGCTGTGTGTTTTTCATAAATGCCCTTTATCAACTAGAGAAAGATTCCTTCTATTCCTGGTTTTTGGAGTGTTTTTTATCAAAACATTAAATTTTGATAAAAATTGTTGTTGAATTTTTTCAAATTTTTTGCAGCTATTGAAATAATCATTTGTTTTTTATTTTATTGTTATGATATATGACATTAACATATTTTCAGATTTTAATCAACCTTGCATTTCTGAGATAAATCTCACTTGGTCATAGAAGAAGTTATTTTTATCTTTATTTTTCTTATTTTTTATTTTTTATTTTATTTTTTTTTTTTGAGACGGAGTCTCGCTCTGTCGCCCAGGCTGGAGTGCAGTAGCGCGATCTCGGCTCACTGCAAGCTCCGCCTCCCAGGTTCACGCCATTCTCCTGCCTCAGCCTCCCGAGTAGCTGGGACTACAGGCGCCCGCTACCACGCCCGGCTAATTTTTTGTATTTTTAGTAGAGACGGGGTTTCACCGTGTTAGCCAGGATGGTCTCGATCTCCTGACCTCGTGATCCGCCCGCCTCGGCCTCCCAGAGTGCTGGGATTACAGGCGTGAGCCACCGCGCCCGGCCTATTTTTCTTATTTTTTTGAGGTGGAATCTCACTTTGTCATCCAAACTGGAGTGCAGTGGCGAGATCTTGGCTCACTGCAACCTCTGCCTCCTGGGTTCAAGCAATTCTCCTGCCTCAGTCTCCCTAGTAGCTGGGATTGCAGGCATGTGCCACCACATCCAGCTAATTTTTGTATTTTTAGAAGAGATGGGGTCTCACCATGTTGGCCAGACTAGTCTCGAACTCCTGACCTGAAGTGATCTGCCCGCCTCAGTCTGCCAAATGTTGGGATTACAGACATGAGCCACCACACCTGACCAGAATAAATTATTTTTGTATTGCTGGATTTGTCTGGCTGATACTTCATTGAGGACTTTTGCATCCATGTTCACAATAGATATTGATCTATTATTTCTTGTGATTTTAACAGTAGGTTCCCATTTAAATGTCTAAGTGAAAAACAAAAAATGTTTTCTCATTTAGTTCTACTCTTAAAATTGTCACTTATTGCTTCTTTAAAAAGTAGTTTAATAAATGGTAAAAAAAAAAAAAAAAAAAAAACAGGGTAAATACTGAAAGTGTTAATTTGCTTTATGGAGAAAGGATATTGTATATGTAAGAGGTGTGGGCATTACTACTAGTTTTGTTTATTAATACATGTTTTAACTTTCATTAATCCCCCAGTTTCTCTCCCATATTTTAAATTCATACAATTATATTCTGAAATAATTCAGATAAAGATAATTCACATTAGATTTTGCCCCAGAATGAAATCACTTCTTCAACTTCCTTGACATTTGCATAGCATTCCAACATAAAAAATAAATATTAACAAATAAATATTAAAACTTCTCTATTATTTTATATGGAATTCCATAGAAAATATTAAGCAACATATAGGTATTATTAAAAATAAATTAGAAACAAAATTTCTGAAGTATTGTTAGAAAAAATTGTTGAATCAGATATTGGCTTTGCTTAATTTTTAAATTCATTGGTATACTTCTATTATTCTCATACTTTCATAATTTCTATTCAGTCCAAGGAATGGCAGAAAACAACTGAAATAATAATGAGGAAAACATCTCAACTGTATGACAATGAATAGATGTTGTGCAAGACATTTTATAATTCAGGTAAAGTAGTGCTCATAAAGAAACTTAAAGCATTAAGTGCACATATTAGAAAAAGAAACAATGGCTGATACCAAATGACCTAAACATCTGGGGAAAAGTACAAAATAAACCTAAAGAAATAGAAGAGAGCAAATAATAATGATGAAATAAAACTTAGGTACATAGAAAGAAATATACCATCAAAATATCACCAAAGGTAATGCTGTGTCATTTAAAAGATTACATTTATAAAAGAAGCAGGATTCATACAGCAGGATTAACCAAGAAAGAAATGAAAGAGAGAAAACACAAGCTTCCAATATCGAGGTTAAAAAAAGGGAATATTACTTTAAGTTCCGCAGACATTTCAAAAATATAAAAGCAACTTTAGGAAAATAAGCTTAAGATTAAATGGTGTGAGTTGTTTAAAAAACACAATTTAAAAAACTATCTTTATGTATTGGTAGGCACGATAATCCAAATAAAGAAGATGTAGACATGTAGACAAATTATGCATTATGCTGAGTATCTAAGTTTGTTAGCACAGAGGACACCACGTTGCTTTATAATGAACATTCTGCCATGTTACGTATTATTTCTTAGAAGGACCTGGCATAGTTGCTGATGCAAACAACACTACATCATGTTCTACACAAAGGTTGGTGAAGCAGTTCCCACAATCCACACCCGTCCTCCTCCAACATTTGGCATAAACCCAATCAGGAGAGTCTTTGCTCCAAAAAACACAATCTTCAACTGGAAAATAATAGAAAGTATAAAGAATGTGTTCTATTTTAAAAAAATATTTATTTATTTTAAACTTATTTATTTTATTTATTTTAAATTTATTTATTATTAATAAAATAAATCAATATATATTCTTATATTAAATAAAGAATTTCTATTCCCAGATTGCTTATTCAGTTAATTATTTAATATTTAGGGAAGACGTTATACCAATCTTATAAAAACTTTCCCAGAGAATAGAAAAAGAGGAAACACTGAAAATCTTATAATAAGCAAATGTAATTTAGCTCTTAAAATCTGACGGGAATATGTTCAGGCTAGAGTATCTTGTGAAAAAGATGCAAAAATACTAAATAATAGCAATCCACATCCAGTGATGTATTACAATAACATGACCTAGGTATAAAAGGAGGGTTTGCTATCATTGATTTAATTCATTACATTACATTAAAAAAGGAGAAAAAATATAGTATGAATCTTTCAATAGAGTCAGGAAAAGCAAACAATGCAATTGAGTACTTACCTTGAAAAATTCCTTAGCAAACAATAATGTAAGAAAACTGAAAAAAAAACCGAAGAAAGATTACTGTGGCTGAGATATTCCCTAGTTATCACATAGCCATGTGCTTGGTCTCACGTATTCCCCAGCCTCCTGTGGTTTGGTTGAGTGAGCGATTCGATGACTTCTGGCCAGAAGCCTGTGAGCAAAGCATTTATCAGCTGGAACATGATCCTTCAGTTGTCTTTCTTTCACAGAAGCAAACACAGAAGTTTTGCAGTAAGATGCAAAAACCACAAGATGGGAAAGGACCACAGTGAACTTTGGTATTCAGCCTGTTAGATTTTCATAAATGTTTATTACTGTAGAATAGAATAACATAAAATTACTTGCGTTTCTTCAGTCATTCTAATTTTAATAAGTGTTAAATTTTGTTTGCTTAAGTTAAAATGTTACATATTTGTACAAAACTTGAATCATTAGTTAGCATACATGAAGTAAAATGACATAATTATTAAAAATATATGCTAAAAAAAAGGAAGCAACAACCAGGCATTCGCCTCTAAATGACATTTCTCTGCATCAGCTATAGAATCATTTGTCACAAAGTGATCTTTGAGGATCCATGGAGAGAGCACAGAACAGCCTGTGAGTCCTGACCCCTTGCTATGTACGACGCAATTAAAACATTGCTAGCATGATACAATTGACACTTGCTTTCCAGTCATAATATTCAGGAAAACTTCTCCATCTATAGTAAATTCTCAAAACCAATACAGAAAATATTTAGAAAATATATAATGCAATTTAATGTAAAATTTTGTAAAAAAGCAAAAAAATTACCCTGTTGCTAAAAATAGAAAAGCCAGAGTGATGAGAAATGTAAGAAAAAAAGATGAAGTGAATAATGAATAAATTAACAGCAGAAGGGAATAAACTAAGAAGTAGGTAAAATAAAAGAAAAAGCAACCCTCAAACATGTTCTAATATGTTGTTGTTATTAAGAAAACAAGGTTCAAAAATTCCATATTTATTGATGTAAGAGATAGTTTTGAAAAATGTAAACTTCTGAATGCAAATGATTTGTGATTAGATGAAGAAACATTACACACATACACTTTTAAAAAGAAAAAAACTATTAATATCAGTAACAAGAAAGATTAACAAATGCTTGTGATTTGTCATGTATCATGGTTAATTTTTCTATGTCATTAATTCATAAAATAGACCCGGTAACCCAATTAGATGTATACTGTTACGGCATTTATTGACAAATAAATAGTTTCCGGGACTCGCTAAGAATTATTAAACTCACATATAGTAAATGAGAACTCCGGGGTTGAATTTTAGTCTTGTCTGACTCCAAGACCTTCACTCTTAAATGCCACACTAAAATGCCTCCAATTATAAAGCAACATACTCATCAATATGACTTTTTAAAGGAAGATTTCAGACTTTAGGAAGCAGATACGGAGAGATATAAATCTATTGTCTGAATCTTTTGCAATAATGAGTCCTTATGCTCTAATTGTAAATGATCCTGATGAGAAAATAAGTTATTCAAAAGGGAGATGTACAGTACATACCCTTGACCAACTCAGCATTTTAGGTCCCTTGAGAAGAGCAAGAAAGGCAAAAATATCAGAGCACAATAAAAGATAAACAGAACATAGCATGCCTATATTAATAATACTGTGAAAGAAGGACAGAGACCCAAAGAAAGTCAGAGATTTTAAATATGTCAAAAATAATTTTTTAAATATCCATGAAAACTCTGCTTGGGATATAACTTACACTATGCAGAGAAATGAGCAACCAACACTTACTTTGCTTTCCATCTTTAATAAAACTGATTTGTGAAGAAGAAAGATTGGAACAAACATGCGTAGGATACAGATGAAGACTAAAATAAACAAAGAGATCAGGAGAAAACAGCCAGATACTCTAAATGAGTTTAAATTCCCTCATTAAATGAGTATCACAGGATAATCAGTGACTTGTAAATGCCATTAATGAGCTCTACCAGGTAATGTTGATGAATACTGTAGAACAGACCTAGCTCCAGAATATTATACATAAGCAAATATAGCTTGTCTTTCTAGAAAAATAGAAGTTAAAGTAAAATATAGATTTGGATGCTTGCCACATATGCTGGGTAAGAATCTAAGATGTCATGATTTCAAATATATTATAAAATGTATATGTTTATAGGCCATCATTGAAGTTTTTTTTATATGTTAACTAGCTAACTTAACTGCACAGGAAGGTATTCAGTTAACTTGAATAATTCCCTCTTAATTTATTTTTCTCTTGTCATGTTACCCACTAACTGTCACACCTAAGTTTTTAGGAACCAATTATCCTTTATAAACACATTACCATACACAATCAATCTCTTTCAGAACCTATAATCCAAACACTTGATTTGGTGAAACCTAGCTCTTCCCAAGAATTTTGCTACCTCTGCAACCTTCTTAAATGAAACCTTCACACATTCTATCATGTCCCATATACCACCAACAGTTGCTTTTCCCTAAATCTCCATTGCCAGGATCAAAAGATTAGTCATCAGTTTACATAGTCTATTAACTAAAAACTCACCACACACTTGTGAATCTGATACCTTTTTCACTCCATCCCAATTTCAGCTTTGAAACCGAGGGATTTCAACATTCACATCACTGCCCCTTAGCCTTATGATTTCCTGACCTGATAAATTCTAGTAGCTTTGGTATCACTTTCATTTCAGCCATGTACACCACTGGCCACACCACACACACTGTCAAAATCCAGCACTGAAAATATCTAATACACATACACCAAATATAATACACCATTTTCTCACTATAACATCCTGTCCTTCTACGTATCTTATGTCCTTACTGACATGATTTATTCTTCCTAATCTCATGCTAATTTACTCATAATTTACTCATAAATTAGCATAAGATTAGGAAAATATGGATCTTATATTTTCTTTTTTATTCACTATGTTCTGAGGTGCATCATTTTAATGACGCTCTTGCATGGATGGAGTTAAAATGAGAATTTAATGTATTTGGTAATATGCCTATATATTGAGGGTGCCTGATTAATGCCTGGCCAGTATTTTCCTTCTTGAAGGGTTCTACAAGTGGAAAATAAATAATATATTTTAATAATTATATGAATGCTAAGTTCACCAATGAGATAGTGGTAATAAAGCCGTGAAGAGAAATCCATTTAATACTTAAGACATAAATGACACTTCCTTCTTTCCCCACATAGAAATGCTAGCATCTTACCACTTTCTACTCTATTCAAGAATCTAATACAGTAACCAGGAATTTTCAAGCATGATTAAGCAAAGACGGGGAGAGAAATAGGATTTAACTTGTTTTAAGAAGTCAGATACTAGGCCAGGCACAGTGGCTCATGCCTATAGTCCCAGGACTGGGAGGCTGAGAAGTGTATATCACCTGAGGTCAGGAGTTTGAGACCAGCCTGGCTAACATGGTGAGACCCCATCTCTAAGAAAAATACAAAAAATTAGCTAGGCGTGGTGGTGCATGCCTGTAATCCCAGCTACTCCTGAGCCTGAGGCAGGAGAATCGCTTGAACTCGGGAGGTAGATGTTGCAGTCAGCCTAGATCACACCACTGCACTCCTGCCTGGGTGACAGTGCAAGACTCCATCTGAAAAAACAAAACAAAAAACCAACAGGAAAAAAAGAAAACTAACAAACGAAAACAAGTCAGATACTAGGTCAATTTTCTCAAAAACTTAATAGAAAAGGAAAGAAAAAAAAAGAGTATACCATGGGCTTATGTCTTTTAAAACCACAATCTCCCCTACAAGCAAATCAGTGTGTTTGATTATGGCAAATCAGATTAGCTATTTCTCTTGTCTTGGGTATTGGATGAGACAGCCAGGAAATGGGTGGCCAGAAAGACAAGTAAGGGAAGCTTTCTGGAAATTAATCTTTTCTTTCCTTATTCCGTATATTGAAAACACTCTCAATTATTTTTTTACATTATTTTTTCAACCTATCTTGTATACAAACACAGATAGCTACATGGATAGCTATAACCAAGAACCTTTCCAAGCCCTCACCAAGCTACTGGGATACTTGGAATTAACTTGGACTTGACAGATGTCAATAAACCCAGTGCCTTTTCTAAAATGCTGGAGGCTAGTGTTTTTAGTATTGACAATAGAATCAGTTTTTAGAAACATAATATGTTATATATTACCCTATAGTAGCCTGTTTATCCATGATAATGAAGAACCCGAAGAACATAGAAATTTTCAACAACGTTTATTTCTCACTTACATGAAAACGGTAGCTCAGCTATGAGTCAGCGGGGACGGTGGGGGTCGGGGGGGTAACCCTGCAGCTCTTTTCATTGCAGGAGAAAACAGCCCCTGTCTAGTCCCTAAGCAAGATAACCGTTCTGTTGCCAAAAATGGAATACAAGAGAAAAAAAAAAAAGACCCATCTGATCTTGTATTTGGATTTAAGACTTATTTTCAGAGATGGAATGTATTTTACCTGCTCACATCTCATTAGACAGACAAATCACATGACCAGGCCCTGCCTCAATGGGTCAGGGAAGTATACTGCTTCGAGAGAGTAGAATATTTGTAAGTGATTTTACAAGATACTACATTAGTATATAATGAAATCTTTCCTTTAGGGAAGGGCAGCGCTTTGTAAACAAACACTGTAGTCCCTCCTTGTCCCTGGGGAATACCTTCCAAGATCATTAATGGATGTTTGAGACCATGGATGGTATCCAACTCTATATATGTTTTGTTCTATGCATATATCATACGGGTAACGCTTAATTTATAAATTAGGCATAGCGCTCTTGGACTTTCAGGACATTATTAAGTAAAGTGAGGGTTATTTGAACACAAACACTGTCATATCATGATAATGGATTTGAACCAAGATTGCAATTAGCCAGGTGTGGTGGGAATCACCTGTAGTCCCAGCTACTTGGAAGGCTGAGGCAGGAGGATCGCTTGAGGCCAGACATTTAAGGCTGCAGTGAGCTATAATGGTTCCACTGCACTCCAGCCTGGGCAATAGAGCAAGACCTTGTTTCTAAAAAAAGTAAAAAATAAAAAGACTTCTACTAAGTGACTAAGGGGATGATAGCATCCACTATAGTGTCCAGGGAGGATTCACCTCCTGGGCTGAATAGATGGAGAATGTGCAAGATTTCACCATACTACACAGAATGGCATACAGTTTGAAACTTATGAATTGTCTATTTCTAGAATTTTTCATTTAACATTTTTGGACCATGGTGGACTGAGGTAACTGAAACAATGGAAAATGAAACTGGGATGGGGGAACTACAGGACTTTAATATCACTGGAGTACAATATTAATGTTCGACTTAAGAAGCATAAAGAAAGATGACTGATAGCCTTAGGACAAATAAGCCCAGGTCTTGCTTCCAAAAGTGTTTGTGTCAAATATTTGAATTGAAAGTGATGATTAAATTTTTGGTATACTATGAATTTTAGATTTCAGAATTTCAACTGAGGAATTGTGAAACATTTTAACATGCTTATGACACACAAACTTATACGGGCATATGTCTATATTTTAATATTCAGACTTTGTATAGCCTTATATTCAAGGTGTCTTTTTTTGGAAGCGACTTATGTTTCCTGTTTAATGCTCAGTCTGCTTGTCATTGTCTTGTAATTGAAAATTTTACTCCATGATAGGTAATATAATTAATGATAACCTTTAGTTCAATCTACTGTCTTACTATCTCCTCCCTGTATGACCCACTTGTTATAGTGTCTTTCTCTTTGTTCTTGTTTTCCAACAGATGTGCCTTATTAGGGGTTGGAGTATTATCCTGCTTGTTATTTGTAGCACATTTTGACTTCATGCATTAAGTCTTTCACCAGTGTTGAAAATTCTCAGCCATTATTAACTCTTGAAATATGGCTTCTTCTCCATTTTTTCTTTTCTCTTCTGGAATCACAGACCCTATTATCATGCCAGATATGTTTTGTATGTATGCGCCTGCAACCCTTTTTTTTTTTTTTAATTCTTCCTTCTATGTTTCTGTATTTCTATCTGGGCAACTTATTCTGACATGTCTTCCATATCACTAATTCTTTTTTACCAGTAACGTATATCAAAATCCTATATCTTGATGGAATTCTTTCTCCAAGTAAATTGAGTTACTCAATTTTTGCCTAATATTTATTTTTGATTAGTTATAACATCTATGACTGCTGCATTGGATCCAATAATTCATTTTCACCCCAATTCATTGATTCCTACCTTCCCCTGGGGCCTAGTTCTTTCATTAAAGGAGATTTCTGCCTCTAGTTCTACCACCTACTCACTACTTGCATACGAATTTGGGATATCACCTATCATGTCATCCTCAAGTGGTGGCAGAGGGCCGCTAACTCCACCACTACCTCCTCAACAAAAATCCCACATTCTGGTGAATGAACACTTGTGGACACTTGTGCCAGGCCTCTGATGGAGTGAGACCACCAATGCAGGCCCTGTGCAGCACAGCAATATCCAGAAGTTGAGTTCTGAGGGCAGCATATTGCCTAAGTCAAAATGTAACTTCAGCGATTTATTTCATAAAGCTTTGGGGCAGAATAAACTAATGCATATAAAAGCAGGAGAAAAGTGTCTAGATGACAGGAAATTCTCAATAAATGCTACTTGTTAGAACTACTCCTTAACAATGCTACTTACTGGACAAGATATTTTGCAAGATCACATATGAGTTCAATGCTCAAAACTGAAAGTAAACTTAAGAAATATTGAGTGCTGTGCTATTGTGCTATGTGAGTATTATATATATCAAAAACCATGTATAATAAATGAGAATATTTTGGAACCAGGTAGACTTGAGTTAGCACTAATTAACTACATGAACTTGCATGAATTAACTTTTGTAATTGCTTTCTTTTTGAAACATGGTATACTACTGCCATCTTAGTAAATACAATCTTAATGAGATTACATTAAGTATTACATATAAACATATAATACAGGGCTGGTTTATACTAGGTACTCAATAAATGGATTTCCTTGTCTAGGGTGATACTAGTTCTTCAACTTTCTTCTTGCAAACAGTAAATTGCCAAAATATTTAAGAATTCCAACATCCCTGTTAATATAAATATATGTGAAAGATGATAGATGGAGAGATAAACAGAGTGATTCTAAATCTGATGGAGTAGGGATCTTTAAAGACCACAACCATTGACGTCAAATTCATGTTTGGTCTTTTGCCTGCCATAGCTACTCCATCTTCTCTCAAATGTGTCCTTGATGATCACTGACCTAAAAAGCACACTCATTTTAGTGTTTTGTTTGCTTAAGAGCTGATTTAAATATTACTTGGTTTTATTATTAAAATCTAAAAACCTTTAGTAGAGATATTTTAATTGGCAGATTTTTCAGCATTATTTTCAAAGCTCATTGTGTTGTATATCAGTCTCTAAAATAAATCTGTTTTAACATATGGGCTCCTCAAGTCTCTTATTCGGAGCAGCTGAAAACACTCATGTTAAGGGACACCTGTGTCTGTTCTTATGCAGGTAGTTAGAGAAATAGATAATAGTGAAACATATGTTAAATCATATGACATATGGTAGTAACACTGAATTAGCCTGCCTAAAACTGTGATCTCTGATCTTCTATGACTTTTTTTTGTGAAGCCTTACAGCTAGTTTACGTAGAGGTTCCTCTTTTTTGTATTCACTTTTCTCATATTTTCTATAATGATATAAAAAGAATGTGTTTTTTGGGGTAGAAATTTTACTGCATTGTGGCACTTTTAAGTTTTTTAAGGTTATGATACTTAAAATTATTATAAAAACTATGTGTATATATATATATACACATATACTTAAGAAAAATAAGGAAACTTCTTTTTAATCACATTCAATATTCATAGACATAATTCTTCACTTTAATTATATATCTAAACAAAATACCAAATATAGCTGTCACCACTGGCTTTGATCAAAATAACTAGTTAGATGACAGGACAGCTACTGGAATTATCATTAGGGAAAATAAATATTCAATTTACCTTTAATTTTGTTTTGAGTTTGCCTTCAAATCAGCACGTTTTCTAATTTCTCCAATGTAAATTGCATTATAAAACCTGGTTTTACTTTATTATTTTTATGGAATTAATATTACCCTATCTTTATTATCATATATATTTAAAAGGTATATCAGATTAATCAGAAATGTTGAAAAGGTCAGATGATTTAAGAGGGGTGTGTGCGTGTGTGTGTGTGTGTGTGTGTAGTATAGATATGTAGATGAAGTATAAAGACTAAAATTCAAAGCAAGAGACTTAATGAGGAAAATTATTTAATAACTCAATTGTGCCAGAGCACAGCAGTTATTTTATAAATTATTCATCATTATTAAAGTAGTTGATAATTAAAAATGTGGTCAAGACATATCTCCCTACCCAGACTGGGGAAAATCACCATAAAAATCAGTGAAAAGATATATGCTTTATTGAAAAATCCCTTACATTGGAAAGATAAATACAAAATAAATGTAGCTAGCAATTGTGTTCTGGTTACTTCCCTACTTCACACACACACACACACACACACACACACACACATAAGTATCATATATAAATATCAGAAGTACAAAAACATATATTTAAAAACCAAGATTCATTTAAAAATTTATTTTATGATGGAACATTATACATTAATACTGGTATTTTTAGAAAATAATGCTATTAACACTAAAAAATTCTGTGAATGGAGGAGGTAGAGGCAGGATGAGTATTTCGTAGCATTTTTGATGTGATAATGCACGTTTTATAATGTTCTGACGTGTTTATCAACTATTTGAGCCATCGTAAGGGAGAAGGTTGTTCTATTAACTCCCAGAAGTGATCAGAGTCTGTTTTGGTTAATATTCCAGGGTCAGTTTCCCACATTCAGTTGAAGGACTACACTGCACTATGTCTGTTTACCCCCCATGCTAGCTAGATGATTTTATTTGGATGAGAAGCTGAAATACCTAGTATATATACTTGCTACAAAAAAATCTGGGCCTATGTTTTTTACAAAAATATAGTTATTATTTAGACATATTGGAAGTTGCATATTTATATAGCAGAGTAGAATTTGAATCAGTCAAGGTAAGATTTTAAAGTGAGTGGATTTTTATATTATGGATTGTTGCACTGCAAAACATTGCATGACTGATCCATTGACATATTCTGATGTAATAGGTGAAAATAACATGTTCATCAAATTACCATGGTAACACTTCAAAGACAGAGAGAGCTGCTCCTTCTTATCAATAGGAATATACTCAGAATGAAGTGAGTTTACAAAGCTCAGCTTCTGGAAACTATCTTCCTTCTTTGCCATGGGGCAAAAGGACATTTTCTACCCACATGCTTCTGAAGTCATGGAATTCTGTCAGTTATTCACTATGTGTAGAAAAGATAACACCTATATGTTTCAGAATTGTAGAAAATAAATAGTTTCCTTAAAGCAAACATTGTAAATATTATGGACTAAGATTTTTTTCATATGGACCTAGAAAATATACCTGTGAAGATATCTTAGAATTCTGAAAGATACAAGAACCTAACTGTTCCTTTTTAAGGAAAAATATTCAAGGTCTTAATTGAGCTTCTTTATTTGATAGTCAAGAAAAACAAAATAAAATGACCTAAAATTGACTAACATTATGAGATTATAATACTCTAAATTTTAACTGAGAGTGAAAAGAAAACAAACAAACAATAGAATAAGCTATGTGGAAGGAAATGTTCCCTCATCATAAATTAAATTTTTTCCAGGACTTAAGGTATCTCTCATCTACAAATAATTCACTTATGGGTACAGCACTCATTGATCAGCCATCACAGAGCTATCTTCCAGCCTGAAGATACACTAACATAAGATTTTAAAATGTTAGCAGGTATTCTGACTTTAGTGAAGTGTATTTTCTTAAGAAAGAGAAAAAAGGAAGGTTTTATTTGGTAGGTATTATAAATCATTATATAAACTTAGAATTGTGCAGGCTTCTTCTTGTACATTAGCAAAGTTAAAGCATCATTATGCTTTCTTTATATGTGCCTACTGTATTCTTCCTGTTTTTAAGCGAAGGTATTAGTTAATTTTTAATTTATTGAACCATTTTCTTATATGAGCCAGTATGATCCTCAGTGGGGGGCTAAATCAAAGAGCTTATTGCTTAGGAGATTATCATGAACAGTCAAGACAGTTTTAGCCTCAAGTACATTTTTGCAGGTCATTGCTTCCTATCTAAGGCAATCTCTCTGAAGTTCAATTCTGGACAGCAAAAATATAGAGAGATGAAAGTATCTCTCATCCATTTATAATCAGGCCTTAATTGATCTCAGCAGATTTCCTAATTGCAGAAGTTACCTCAGGTAGGTCACGTATTTCCTCATCTGTGGAATCTTGCTGCCATAATCAGCACTTTAGGTGTTACATGGAGGCTTCAGAAATCCCCTTTTCTAGATATAATAAAGGGAAGAATTATTATAGCTTGTCCCTAAAATAATGTCTTTGGCTTCAGGTGCAAAGCCACAAAGGAAAATACTATGAATTTTAAGAAATGAATGAAATAATTTTGTGAACAGAATGAAAACAATATTTTAACAATTAAATAGTATTTACATTTCTGTACACACTTAAAACTTGTTTATGATTTTTTTGGAGTGAGTGCTTTATATTATTCATATATTTATGTATGAATATATATATTTATATTATATTATATATTTATATATGAATATGTATAGTATATTTATATTATATTATTCAGTAGAATAGATTTACCATGAATCTAAATATGTTTTAGGTGCTTTAACTAGACCAGTAAGAGATCGGATGAAATCAATGCAAAAAATATTATTGTGATGAAAGTTTCTCTTTGTATGTTATTTATATTTTTCTCTATCAAATAGTTATTTTTTCTCTGACTGTTATTGTAGGTTCAAGGGATGCATGTGCAGATTTGTTACAAGGGTAAATTGCATGTTGCAGCAGTTTGGTGTACAGATTTTTTTGTCACCCAGGTAGTAAGCATAATATCAGAAAGGTAGTTTTTCAATCCTTACCCTCCTCCCATCATCCACCCTCAGGTAGGATGTGATGTCTATTGTTCTCTTCTTTGTCCTTGTGTACTAAATGTTTAGTTCCCATGTATAAGTGAGGACATGAGGTGTTTGGTTTTCTGTTCCGACATTAATTGGCTTAGGATAATAACCTCCAGCTAGATGCATGTTGCTGCAAAGGATATGATTTTGTTCATTATTATGGCTGCATAGTATTCCATGGTGTATACGTGCCATATTTTCTTTATCTAGTCCACCATTGATGAGCATCTGGGTTGATTCCATGTCTTTGCTACCGTGAACAATGCTGTGATGAACATACCTGTGCGTGTGTCTTCAGGGTAGAACAATTTATATTCTATCGGGTAGATAGCTAGTAATGGAATTGCTGGGGCAAGTGGTAGTTCTATTTCAAGATACTTGAGACATCTCCAGATTGCCTTCCACAGTGACTGAACTAATTTACATTCCCAGAAGCAGTGTATAAGGGTTCCCCTTTTTCCTCAACCTCACCGTCAAGGAGTTAGCTTATGATAGTTACATTACATCAAAAATAAAATGAAATCTGATTCATTCATCCTAGTTAGACTATTTAATAATTATTATGATTGCTATTGAACTGTAGCTAATTTTTTTCAGCATTTATCAAATACCTGAAAAGAATCTCACCCTTCCACATTTTTTTCTAATGTAGTTGTATACTTTTAATTGTTTCTAAGTTAAAGAACTATTATGTATTTGAAGGTTTTGACATTTTATCTATTTGCTTGCAAATTATATTTATATTCTAATTGCTTTAGAAGAACATATCTAGTCCAAAATAAAATTGGACTTTATTTCTCCATATTTCAGTAATTTTCATGATTGTTAAATGCAAGCATTTCAGATTAAGTTTTATAGAATCTGTAGAAGCCCTAATAACTGGGTGAAAATTTTGTTATGAAAATATATAAGCATATTCTATTTCAGGTACACCACTGGTCATATACTGACTTATCCTGAAACTTATGTTTAATTATAGAAAATAATTAGCTACTGCAGTTATATAATGATTTCTCTGGATGATGAGTAAGCATTACAGTCCAGCTTATCAACATGTAGGCCTACACTTTTCATCTTGTAATTCAATATGTAAAATGTCAATAACTAATATCATTCATCCATTCAAAAAACTGAAAGTGATCATGTCCTTAATGCAAAATCTCATCTCGTTTCTCGGTCCTGGTCCAAGCCAAGAATCTCTAAATGAATTTCCTAAGTTGATGTCTAACTCAGCGGAAGCTCCTTAAGACTCAGAAATCCATAGCTAAATCACAACCCAAGCACATTTGGATTCAGGATAAATATGGTAATAAAGTACATTTGAAAAAGTTAAGTAAGTAGAAACAGGCTAGAATGGTCATTTTTTAGCAAACATCAGTGACATCTTTTGTGAAAGGAAGAATGAGCAAAGACTCTGAGTTCTGCAGGTGGAGTGATTTATTTTGAGACCACCTAAGTAGCATTTCTTAATTCTTCTTTCTTGGAGGCCTTTTCTGTGTCCATTGTTCTCTATGGTTTGTCCAGACAGACATTAGTGAGCCTTCTTCTGCTGGAGAATATACTGCTATAGAAGATAACTTCATTTTAGTATTAGTGTGGACGCCTGAAGATTTTCATTTGTGACTGAGAAAATAAAAGTCTCTGTTTTCTAAGCTTAAGGTTTATTCAACAATAAAACTCTCTTTAAAAAGTTTTAGTAATTCTTTGTATGAATAGTTTTGCAATTGTATGGGCTACTGACCAATGCCAGAGAGACGACAACCAGCAAGAGGGGTGGGGAAGTTCTGTCATTTAAGCAACACATCAGCGACCCGATCATTTCCCTAGCTCTCAGTTCAATGGCTTCCATTTTGGAGTCTCACTCGGGGTCAATTCAAAGCATTCACTGGAGAGGTGAAGACACATGTAATCTTTCACTCATTTTTGGAGGCATGCAAATAATCGTTCTTTAATGAACACAGCAGAAAGAGTTCTCTAATCCTAACCTTGTACCACTTTCCCCCTAAATCCTGATTCTTTCAAATCTTCCAGATTAACACAGCACTCTTTCGCTTTGGGTTTTATGCGGAAATAGCTCCTTCATAAAGCCTGTATTTTCTTTCATTGAACGTTCAAATGGAATAGTTTTCAAAACATTCTTTCTTACAAGACATTACTGTAGACTGCAAAAAATAACAAAGTTACTTGCATATGTTGAGATATTTCTACCAAGTCTCCTAATGAGCCAGCTATTTAAATATATAATCTAATTTCAAGACGTAAAAGTTAAGCTGCTAGTTTGCTACCACACAAGAAGTATTGTAACCTTCCCAGTTAAGGATGGAGAGATTCACTCTGCCCCATACTCAAACTTTACCTCAGTCAACTCCACATTTCGGGTTCTTGTATTAGGAACAAAATTTTAAGGAACACGTCCTTATTAGTAATATTTTAATGTGAATTAATAAAATTGTGAATCAAACAGATTTAAACAAAAAGGGAACGAACACGTTTACTTAGAATGAGAAGGCCAAGGCAGGGGATAACTGTAGGCAAAATGGAACAAAATCTAAACACATTGTTCTCTTTTTGTCTCATAGCTATGATTTTTTTTTGGATTTGGCTTCATGGTCCAATAGTTCCCCTTAAATCCCAAGACTGGCTTTCAGATTAATGCATTCATTATTATATTTAGAAAAATAGAACATCTTAATTAGGCAAATCCTGTACCCACATCCCTAGAGACAGAAGGAAAATAAATAAACATCACCCAAATCATTATCGATGGCAAATAGGGGAAGTGTGTTGGGTTTGGATGATTAATGCACAGCACCCATTTTTTCCCTCTTTTAAATGTATTTCCTCCTGCAGAGGTTGTAAACCTAAATTCCATATTTTACAAACTCTCTTATTAAGTTTTTGGAAGCAAATAATATGTTGCCAATTATATATATTTGAAGGAAGCTTGAAAGAAGGAAGTCACACAGAGGTGATCTCCCTGCTGCTTTAAAAAACATTTTTCTCCTTCTGAGAATCCAAAGCAGGGGCACATAAATTGCAAGAGCATTGAACACAGTGTTTCATTGTCTACTCATTAGCTGTCAAAAAGCAGGCAGTATGCTCGGTGCTGTGCAGGCTTCCTGATAGGTGTGATATTACTACAGCTAGTCCAAATGCTTGTCACCTGACTTCAGTATGTCCAAACTCTTCCACAAATTTGTATTTCTATTTAAATACATTTTATTTTCCCAAATAATTTGAGATTTATGAAAAGATTGCAAGGAGAGTTTCCATATGCCTCCCCACATACACCCAATTATTTCTATCATTAACATCTTTAATTTGTATGGTACAAGTGTTACAATATATTGATCAATATCAGTGCCTTATTATTAACTAAAGTCCATTCTTCTTTTAGATTATCTTAGTTCTGACAGGACGCAGTGGCTCACGCCTGAAATCCCAGCTCTTTAGGAGGCCGAGGCAGGTGGATCTTTTTTATTTTCAGATTGTTTGCTGTTGACATATAGAAATGCTTCTGATTTTTGTAAGTTGATTGTGTATCCTGCAACTTTACAAGAATAATTTGACTTTTTCCTTTCCAATTTGGATGCCCTTTATATCTTTCTCTTGTCTGATCTTCTTCCAAATAAAGCTGTTCTGAGCTGCCTAGAGATGGGAATGGGTTGAAACAAGCACCCCTGTGGCCACCAACACTGGGACTGTGCTGGGTCAAACCTGAAGCCAACATAGCACTGGGTCTCACCCAAGGCCTGCTGTAACCACTGCCTGACCACCACCTGTGTTTGCTCAAAGTCCTGGAGCTCTATGATCAGCAGGTAATACAGCCAGCTAGGCTTCTGCTCTTTCTTTCAGTTTGATGAGCTCCCCCAGGCCCTGGCTGGATCCAAAGGTGCAGTCCAGGAGACAAGGACTTGATTAAAAAACCTTAGAAATCTTTCTGATGATCTATTGTGGTCTATGGCTGAGCGGGGTCCTCTGCCTGGTTAGGTGCTTTGAGAAGGAAGATCAAAGACTTAAAGTCCCATTTTCATTGCATCGTATCAAGAGTACATATAATCAACAGACTTATCACTGCCAACGTCGGCCTTGGTCATTTGGCTGAGATAGTGCTTGTTAGGTTTCTCCGTGGACCATACTCCATTCCTTCCAAACTGTATGTACCCTTTGGAAGAAAGTCCCTATGCATATCTAATACATAAGGAGTGAAGAGTCATGTTCCGCCTCATTAAGGGTGTTTTATATCTACATAAATTTTTTGAAATGCTTTTACATGGGAGATTTTTCTCTTTTCTCTTTTTAAATTATTTATTAATTTCTTTATATCAATATGAGTTTATATATTTTGTTCCATACTTTGGGTTATAATCCCAAAACTACTCATTAATTTTGTTGCTCAAATTGTCCAACTTTGGCCTTTCAAAGCTCTTTCTTTTGGCCCTTGTGCCCTTGCACGTACCCCACTAATGCGTATTTTTGGTTGTATTTTGCAATTTTTACTTCTGGTCACTTCCTTATTTTCTGATCTTACGCATGCTCCAGGCTTATTTGCACATTTTCTGCCAAATTCTATAACCAGTTATTTCTCTGTGGAGTCCTTTAGGATCCTCTTATCAGAGAATGGGTTTAGAAACCATATCTGAGCAGTAGGTGTGCTTACTGCTACTGGGGTGTTGATGCTTCTAGATCATATTTGCTAAAAGATAAAAGATTTATATGTGTGTATGTGAACTCTTGCATATATCGTTATTTATAAACATTTCCATCTGTAACCATCTGTATCTATATTAAGCTAAACATGAGTTCAAACTGACGTCTCCAACTCTATTACTACATGGATGGTTCTAGTAAACTCCAAAGTGGTAAAAGACACATGTTTGTGTTGAACTACCGAATATGATTTGGACTAGTGCTCTAACCCTCATGTTCTGATCCACAGAGGCTTGGACAATTTGATGAGCATCCTCAAAAGCAATAATACTTGTAAAATAGAAATAAAGAAAATACAGTTTTTTAAAAACCACTCTAGGTCTGAAGAAGAGAAACTTACTGTCAGTCTATTTTACAGAGAGCTAGAGAGTTACTTCTGTACCCAGTTAAACTAGAAAATGTACTACCCAGGACACATCAATAGCGTATACAGGCAAATTATGGAGGTCCATAGATGCTACACATGTAAAATTACTACACATATTCCTCCTGGATTTCAGTAACTGGATCTGAAGCAATGTAGAAGGGTAACTAGGTGCTGAGGAATAATAAGATGAGATTTCAGAGATTACTGGACATCATCTTAGAGCTAATATTAATCAGAGGGACCCAAAACATGACTGTGTTTCAATGGTGAGAATATGACATTATGGGTTAAGCAATAAGTTTTGTTCTGAACTAATTCTGTATCCTGGAGCTTGTAAAAAGAATACACCCTGTGGATATTTCCCCAGTTTTTGGATATATATTAACATGAGACATATGTGGCAACTGAAAGAATCCTATATTTGTTCTCTTAATGTTGGAGCGGGATTTTGTATTATATCAATATCCAAGAGTAAATGTCTGTGAATGAAACTCTTACCAAAATACCATAAACAACAGTGGACTCCTGAAAGAATTGTGGAGGGAAAACCATAAAACTATTGAAAAATTCAGGGGTGGCAATTTCTATCATATTCCTTCTTGTTTACACAACTGACTGTGCTCTAGAAAAATCATTTAGGGCCTAACAGATGATAGAGCATCAAACAATCTTAATAAAATTATGTAAAATTGTGACTTCAAATGCAATAGGGTTTTCAGATGCTAGATCAAATTAATACAAATCCTAGATTGTTATATGCAGCAATTATTTTGGAGGGAAGAGAGAGAGAGAAAGAGAGAGAACAATAAAAATGGTTTAAACAGCTTTCACTTTGCAAGGAAAGCAAGACAGCAGGACAGTTTTGGTGCCTTATTTCTAAGCTATATCAACTCCTGAAATAATTTCTTCTGTTGGAGTCCTACCTCTTATTAGACTACTTCATAGATTCTAGCATGGTGATAAATTTTGCAAACAGCAATAGGATGTTACAGACAGGAAACAAAATAGATTTCAGATTCTTGTTAAGACAGGTATATTCTAGAGTGTGGGAGATACATCTTACAAAATTTCAGATCATGCAAAGGTGGTGAAATTTGGGGGGTTCAAGTGGTCTGTATGATTTCTCTTTCAAATTGAACATCAAAATGATGCCCTTTTCCCATTCTATCACTAAGGGAGAAGTAAGATCTCAACATGTTCCACTCCAGAAAGTGCAAAGCCACGCTTCAGAAGCAAAATCTTGTTGGATTTTAGTGAACATATCCTGCATATGATTATTTTCTTCAAACCCACTACCAAGTGAAAAATACATCTGCTGGTGTTTTTGTTGGGCTCAAAAAGAGAGAATTTATCTGGCATTTTTGTCTTGCAGCTCTGATATCTTGACCTTATTTCCTAACAGATGCACTAGAAAGAGAATTTGTGCTGCAAATGTGTTAAACTCCTTGAAGTAATCAGAACATTGGTCCCTAGTGATTTAGAGCAAAGCCATATCCTCTGTCTCAGTCAGTTCGAATTGCTATAAGAAACATATTAATACCATAGACAGGGTGGCTTAAACAACAGACAGTTATTTCACACAACTCTGAAGGCTGAGAAGTCCAAGGTTAAAGTGCCAACTAATTTGATTTCTAATGAGGGCTCTCTTCCTGATTTGCAGAGGGATATTGTTTTTCTATATCTGCATATAGCACAAAAAGAAAGGAGTAGCAAACTCTCTTATGTTTCTTATTATAAAGGCACTAATCCCATTATGAAGGCAGAGCCCTCACCACCTTCTTCACTGACAAAGGCCCCATCTCCAGGGGCATGTCAATAGTGATTATCTTCATAATTGATTCTTTAGATTACAGCAAATTCAGATGAGATTATGACTTAAAGAGAAGAATAAATGTAACTCCAAGATTAATAAGGTGACTTATTGGGGTTCTTCCTTTGAGGATAGGTTTTATAAGTGAAAAGCATATTCACATTGGGGATTAGGATTTCAACCTATGAATTTTATGGGGAGAGACATTCAGTCTGTAACACTCTTAGGCAAATAAGTATGTTTTTTCATCAAGAAACATTTTTCTTACATTTTCTTCTTTCTTACTAGACCCTGGGAGGTTGAGACACTAAGTGATTATGACCACATTGACTTGCTGACCATTGAGACACAAAGCCATAAAAGTGTTGTTCACAGAAGCACCGCATGATGAAGTAGAAGTGGTACCTATGACCCGCAGTGTGAGATATCCCTGAAGGAGTAAGTTACGTAGTCACGTGGCTCACACATTCAATGTATCTTCCCCTGACACACTCACTTGTCTCTATAAGCCCCATAAGCCTACACAATAACTTCATGGGGAACTCCTCAGGAAACCTGATTTATAAGTGGTTTCAAGCAATATACAAGTACCAGAGGAAATAGGATGACCAACGTTACAGCCCCACATAGGAAAGATTCTGTATGAAAGAAAAATCTTCGCAATGTCAAAATATCTTGTAGTTCACTTTATCTGAAAATAAAACCTTCAGAAATATGGAAGAACATTCATCTGCTGGCCATAATTAACAGTTTGACTAGATGGCCAAAAATTTTGAAAGGATAGAGTTAGAAGCATGATGACAAGAAGCATTGATAAGCCATGTGTGGAAAGACTTTTCAACATAGACCAGAATCTCAGAATATTTGTTACACAGAAATTCTTACAAAATAGCGCCGGCTATAGAGACCTCATACGGTGAATAGAAATGATCCATTCTCTGGATGTCATTCCTCCTTCAGTCACCCTGCTTCTTGTCAACATATCTATAAAATAAGTAGTTGCTATGACAGGGATGAAAGTTGGACATGGTGCAAAAATTTGGACTTTTCAATCCAAAGCTTATGTAGTCTGTCTTACTGCTAAGCACAGTCCTACATAACAGAACTGGAGGTGAACCCCACCATAGCACTATCTTTTAGGAATATTAGTAAATGATCTAGTGCTAGTTTGCTTACATTAAACCACTTTCATTATGTCAGGACGAGCAACTTGTCCTCATTAAAACAGTCACTTATTCTGCATGTAGGTTTGCCCATCATGCTGATATGCTTTTGCCAGAAGAACAATCTGAGAACTAATAAAAGTCCATATGCACCTCTACAGTGTCCCACACAACATTGTTTCTGAGCATGGATTTTGTGTTACAGTAAAAGAACTGAGGCAGTGGCAAACTGAGGCCGTGTTTCCTTATAACCCATCGATCTGAAATAATTAGAATAATTATTACAATGGAATAAAGTACTGAAGATACAATTACAGTACAATAGAATAAAGTAATGAAGATACAATTATGGAATAAACTACAGCACAATGGAATAAAGTACTGAAGATACAATTATGACTCCTGTTGGAGGACGCTACCTTGCAGTCTTTGGGTCTTGTTTCACAGAAGGCAGAATATACCCAGAGTTATGTATACAATTCAGAGTTCTGTGTTTTCGTGGCTCCATTTGGCTGGTAACCAAAGTTTGAAAGTGTAAGTGCCACATCTCTCTATTACAGCCAATTACATTCTCATAAATATTATTGTCTTTCATTCCTGATGGCTTTGGATTTTTTTAGTTTGCATTCCTAGTATCCAAGGAATAAATGCTTTGCATCAGGAGATTAATAATGGGTCAGTTGAGGTGGAAGTTAAAATGTCACTTTACTATTTTGCATATTTTATGCCAGTGAGGTAACACTCCAAGTTATAGCTACTTTATAGTTACTGACCTTTATTATCAAGGCAAGTGGGATTACTACTACAAAATGGAAACATGGAGGAGTAAAATAGACCAAAAGGAAATTCTATTGCTATGGACAGAGTTGTGTGCCTTAAATTTGTTGAAACCCTGATCCCCTATGTGACTCTGTTTCGAGAGGGGGCCATTAAGAAGGGAACTAGGGTTAAATGAGGTCATAAGGTCTAATCCTATAGAACTTGTTTCCTTATAAGAAGAGGAGAAACCAGAGATCTCTCTCTCTCTTTCTCTAAATGTGAACAGAGAAACGACCATGTTAGGACACAGCAAGATGACTACAAGCCAGGAAAAGAGGCCTCCTTAGAAACCGTCCTGATGGAGCTTGATCTTGGACATCTAGTTTTTAAAACGGTGAAAAAAATTAATTTCTGTTGTTTAAGACACTCAGTCTGTGGAATTTTTCTAAGGCAGCCCTACCAGACTGATACACCAATGTGGGAAAGTTTACAATGCTTTAGAGCAAGTAGAAATGAAAGTTTGGGTAACCCCATCCAGTATAGCTTATTAGACAATTCAAGTACCGGCTAAGAGCAAAATAAAAATGTAATAAATGGTGTAGAAGGCCTGGTGTGGTGGCTCATGCCTGTAATCCCAGCGCTTTGGGAGGCAGACGTGGGCAGATCACGAGGTCAGCAGATCGAGACCAGCCTGGCCAACATGGTAAAACCCATCTCTACTAAAATAACAACAACAACAAAAAAAAATTAGCTGGGCGTGGTGGGGCAGGCCTGCAGTCCCAGCTACTCAGGAGGCTGAGGCAGGAGAATCACTTGAACCCAGGAGGCGGAGGTTGCAATGAGCTGAGATTGCACCACTGAACTCCAGCCTGGTGATGGTGAGACTCCGTCTAAAAAAATAAAAATAAATAAACAAACAAAATAATAAAATAAAAAATAAATTTAAAAAAAATGTTGGAGAAAGAAACCCATTACTGCTAACCATAGTCTGGTGTCTAGTTAAAGAAAAAGATATCATGGCTATCCATATATTAGTTCCAGCTCTGTGATGCATGCATTCGTTTTTTCTTTTCATTCTCCCTTATATTTTATAAAAGGCATGTCAATAGTGATTATCTTCATAATCGATTCCTTAGATTACAGCAAATTCAGATGAGATTGTGACTTAAAGAGAAGAATAAATGTAACTCCAAAATTAATAAGGTGACTTATTGGGTTTCTTCCTTTGAGGATAGGTTTTATAAGTTAAAAGCATATTATTCTTTTGGGGAGGGCTTACATGAGGTATAGGAATATTTCATTTTGTTCTCATTTTATTTCCATTTTTTTTTAAATGTAGGTGAATGAATGTATGTGTAGATGATGAATTAGCAAAAGAAGAGTTCTAAAGGATGAGGGAAATGCATTTAGGAAAAGTTAGCCTTCATTCCATACCCTTAATTGGTGAACTTTTGTGTTAAGAAGAGACAGAAATGCCAACAGTTACATTTCTAGACTCTCCTTCAGCTGGCTTTCCAAATGCAAGTCAGCTTCTGCCACTTGTATATACTAGAGTGAGACTCCTAGGAGGAATATGAAGTGGAATATCACTTTTCGGATTATTTTATTTCTATTCTTAAAGAAAAGACATAAAATCCTGAATGGCAAAAGCCAGCTATGGTGGTAGTTTTATTAAGCATTCATTGTTTAGCCACTAGCTTTGTTTGAGTTGAGGGGATTTGTGATTATATGGTATTCTGATCCCTGGATCAGAGTGAGAGTGTATCAGCTTGGACAAGGTTGTATTACTGGAATCCTCCTGACTCCAACTCCTCTAGTGCTTCCAGTGATTTTATAAGCAGTTATTTTCTACTATTAAACATACTTCTGCTTAAAATATTATTGATTGTTTCATTTTCCTGCACAGAACTCTAAATGACACAAATCTTCCCCCACAGAAAAATTGAATTGTCATAACCCCCTGCCCCCTGAAAAATAAATAGATATGGGCAAAAAGTACAATTCAAATCAGAAATAAAATATTTTTATTATTGTAGTACTTAAATGACTCACATTTAAATTTGTCAGCACCTTCTCTGAGCAGGTGAAAGAGAAAGTCTCTTAAGAATGCCTTCTATATATTCTGGAAAAAAAAAATACCTGGGGTAACTAGGAGGCAGTCACTTGTTGAGTAAATGGTGTGACAAGAGAGTTTATGCCTTATGAAGAAATGTGGTTCTTTACATTGCTTGGAATAATAGTCTTTTCCTGGGGGATAAGTGGATAATTCACATATAGAACAAGAGGTCTCCTGGAAGGAAAAGAGAGTATACTCTGACCCTTCCATTGGAAGTTTAACTGCATTAGGCTGTACCAGGAGTAAAACATCCCAGCTCAAGAGAAAGGATGCTAATTCGTTTTGAAACAGAATTCAAATTGAGAGTTGAGGAAGGCCCACTGGTGACCTCGACCCAAGACATGCACCTCCATGGTCCATGATAGGGGCAGGGCTGTCTCTAGCTGGAGAAGAATGCTAGTTATCCTGTGAGTCTAGAAAGTTGATTTTTGATCCATTTTAAATTTTAGTATTAAAACAGATGTGCTGCTCTTTGCTCTCCAGTTAGAAGTAAGCAGGTCTTGTGAAGTCATAGTATCTTCAAGATGCTTTAGAGCCCAGTTATGTATGATTAGGGAATGATTTCAGCACTGAGACTAACATTGATAAAAGTGATATCAACATGTGTAATACAGTCTTAACTTTTTCTATGACTCTTGGGACTCATTCAATCCTGGCTAGAAGGTAGGATAGATGAATAAATGGAGGCAAGAGTTAATAACTAGCTTGTCTGAGGTTGTAGATAAGTAGGGAGAAAATTAGGCAGAGCAACCAGGTTTCCTGATTACCATCTCTGTGATCTCTCTACTGTCCCATTTAGTTAAGAGGTAAGAATCTTTTGTCTGACAGCTCTGACAATCCTTATGTTGCCTTGTATTCACTGTGTGACCTGGGGAAAAAATGTTTAGTTTCCCTAAACCTCAAAGTCTTCCCAAATTAAATGAATAAATGAAGCTAACTACCTATTTTTCCTTTAATAGAATCTATTAGTTTCTTACCAGGATAGTCTCTTTGTCATCTCGATACATATCTCAAGCAACTTACTTCAAGCAAGACTTCCTCCTGAAAATCTTCCCCTTCCTTACATTACCCTGTATTTGTCTGTTCTTGCACTGCTGTAAGGAAATACCTGAGACTGGGCTTTTATAAAGAAAGGTTTAGTTGGCTCATGGTTCTGCAGGCTGTAAAGGAAGCATAGTGGCTTCTGCTTCTGGGGAGGCCTCAGAAAACTTACAATCATGGTGGAAGGCAAATCATGGGAACCAGGCACATTTTACACGGCTAGAGAAGAAACAAGGGGGGCAGGAGGTGCCGCACACTTCAAAACAACCAGACGTGAGAACAGTACCAAGGGGACACTGCTAAATCATGATCCAATCACCTCCCACCAGGCCCCACCTCCAACATTGGGGATAAAATTCAACAAGAGATTTGGGCGGGGACACAGATTCAAATCATATCACACCCCCAATAGCGTAACTTTCTGTTCGTTTATTATTTCATTCAAAACCTATAAGACATCTACTATGTGTCATATGCATTAATAGGTGTGAGAGATACATTACAAAGCATAATCATATACTCATCCAGCTCTCATAGAAACTATAATCTGGTCGGGGAAATAAGTTAAAATGTATGCCAGTGTTATTCAAAGCACTGGTAGTAGCTCTTAGAAGACAGTTTGGTAATTTCAGAATACCAGCTTAGCCTTGTTAGGAATTGCCTCAGCACAAGAGAGACTTCTTACTCAAAGGTTACAACCTTTCTGCACTGTATCATATTGATGAAGGCACAGTCATTGTGGCCCAAAGTATGATAACCTTTAAGGGTCATTTTAGCTCCAGAGTTCCATGTAGGGTTGGTCTGGGCTCTGACAGATCTCATATCACAGCTCCACTTCTCCCTTCTCCAGAACTACTGATCCCTAATAAATTAGGGTATTTCCTAATAAATGTCCTGCATGCTACATTCTGTCTCTTTCAGGTCTGTTTCCCAGAGACTCTGAATTATGAGGGTTGGTAACAGGTGCAGCCTGAGATTAGACAATAATGTGGGTGTTGGAGTTGGATCCCTTATTACACAACTGGCAATGTAAGAGAACATAGGTAACTCTTCTTCCAGGTAACTATCTAATTGTTAAAAATCTCACTGGTGTTGAACTGGAATGGTATATAAAAGGGAATGAACAAGCTGATGGAGAAATCAGAACTATAAAAATGATGGTATTTGGTTGATTTTGCTAATTTCTATTGAAGATCTAGGAAACTATAAATAAAGGCTGAAAATATAGAAAATTCAAAGCTACATGTAAAAAACAGAAGGTCGCCTTAGTAGCATACAAGGAAAGTCTCATCTGCACTGAGAGGATTAAAAAACTGAGCACTTGTCCAGGATCTACCTTCAGCGAAATCTATATCTAAAAAAGGCTATACTCAGTAATGCAGGTGTGTTTTTGCTGTTTTTGTGGGGTTTTTTTTCATTTTTTTGTTTGTTTGTTTTGCTACAGGAATTGCTCCCAGAAACATAAAGAAAATTATGGCCGATGTTAAGTGTGGTTGACCTGATGGAATTGACAAAGCAGACAGTGCGGGAGGGAATTGACTCAAGGAAGGGGTCATGTTGGAGCAAATGAACTAAGTAAAGCTGAGTACCTACCAAGTGGTGAATCTAATTCAAGGGGAAGTTGTGCAGTTTAGAACAGTTACCAAGCCCATAGACAATACCCTGGTGATAGGGCCACCAGCATCATTGAAATGTTTTCTGGTGCCTCTCATCTGTGAACCAGGACTGATGGTAAAATTTTGCTGTAGTGCTTGGCTCTTTGATACCAATGGGACAGTATTATCTTGAGAAAACAGGGACTATGTGGCAATGCTTGACTGCCAAGAGCCAGGTGTTTTCAATTATTGTAATGACCAGTAAGGTTAGAGTAGCAGCTACAGTGTCCTAACCCATAGATAATACAGCACAGCTTTATTAGTGTAAAAATATATCATCAGATAGCAAAGGTGGTTCTCAGCTTGCACCATGAGAAGAATAAAAGACAGGCTATTAAAGAATTAAAGGCAGTCATCAATTATATTACTTTCCAAGAGCTGCCACAATTTTCCACCAACTGAGTGGCTTAAAACGACAGAAATTTATTCTCTCCTAGTTTCAGAGGCCAGAAGTTCAAAAAAACTAAGGTTCTGAGAGCGAATCTGTTCCAGGCCTCTCTCCTGGCTTCCACTTTTACAGGCAATCCTTTGCATTCCTTGGCTTGTAGACACATTCATCTCTGCCTCCATCTTCAGGTGACTTCTTCTCTGTGTGTATTTACATAGTCTTATCTTCTTAAAAAGACATCAGTCATTGGATTTAGGCCCACCCTAATTAATTATGACCTCATCTTAACTAAAAACTTCTTCAAAGACTGTTTTCTAAGGATACATTCTGAGGTTTTAGATGGGCATTAACTGTGGAGCAAGCACTACTCAACTTAGTACACCAATAACACATTAAACCCCTTGCTGCTTTCAGAACTAAGCCAGTTCTCAGTCCAGAGTCTATTGTTTGAAGAGGAGGTCATTTTTCACAAAGTAAGCCCTGAAAGACCAATGGTAAGTGTACATGTTAGTAACTCTCTCCATCCTCTCCACAATGGATGTATAGCATATATTCAGATAACTGTACACTGTGTTAAGGGGAATTCCCAAACATTTTCAAGAATGACATGAATAGGGTCTGGGGAGACACTGATATGTGAGAACTGAAAAGCTACCATGAGCCCTCGAGGGTGTTATGGGGATCAGGTAATTAATGCTGGCTAAGGTCTGACTCTCAATGGGTCCACTAGATCTGGAGAGTCATGCAGGAATATTTTCTTGGTCCTCAGATGTATAATTGGAATAGACATATTCGGTAGTTGGTTTAACCTCACATGGACTCCTTGACCTCCAGGTTAGGGCATATAATAGTGCAGATGGCTAAGTGGAAGCATCTGAAACCACACCTCTGCGACGGTTTAAATGTTCCTGCCAAAACTCATGTTAAAATTTAATTTCCAATATAATGGAATTGGGGGCAGTGTCTATAAGAGGTGATTAGGTCAGGGGCCAAGCTCTCATGAATGATTCAAGGCCATTGTCATGGGAATGGGCTCCTGACAAATGATGAGTTTGGCCTGATTTTTTCTCTCTCTCTCTCTCTCATACCTGTACTCACACATATGCTTCCTTGCCATGTGATGTCTTCCCCATGGGATGACTCTCACCCAGTGTTGGCATGAGGCTCTTGGACTTCCCAGTCTCCAGAGCCACCAGCCAAAAAAATTTATGTGTATTATAAATTACCCCATCTGTGATGCTCTGTTATAGTAGCAGAAAACTGATTAGAACAACTTTCCTCTACCAGACAAGGGCCTAAATAAAATTTAAAAAAATTCTGGGAATGGGGACAGAATTAGTGTCACACTTAAAGTTCTATAGGTTGCAAGGAATGTAGCCCCTGTCAGATCTCTATTTAATTCCTTGCATGGCACCTGTAGAAATGAGATAGTTTCTCAAGAATGAAAGTAGACTACTGCAGCTGCTGTGTCAGATGTGATATCTTTGCAAGGGCTCATTACCTCAGACTCAGGTACATGGTAAATGATTATAGCTTCGGATGATGTGTGTGTGTGTGTGTGTGTGTGTGTGTGTGTGTGCACGCACTTAATTCTTGCCAAGATATGGAATCAAGAATGGTTCACAATCACCAAGCGGGGATGTTCTTGGCCAGGGCTATGTGAACTCTCATGTTCTCTGTCATAAGAAGTCCAAAGAGAAATGGACCATCTGGGTATTATACATACCACATTCATGCATTATGGCAGAGATATTATGCTAATTGCACCAGATGATCAAGAAGCATTTATTCTATTAAATGAATTGCTAGGAATGTGCATTCCAGAGGGTAAATGATAAGCTTCAAGAAATTTCAGAGGCCTCTCATATTAAGAAATATTCGACAACTCAGTGATATTTTTCTCAAGGACCTGAAAAGCCACTCCTTTAAAATACAGTCTCCAGGAAGGTTAGGCCTCTGTCTCCCAGTCTGTATGAAAGAATAGAATCCTAACTTTTATAATTGCCAGCTAGCAGACACAGCTGGCCCAATCACATTTACACTGACAAATGCGCCATAATTTTTCACTTGAGTCTCCTCGTTCTCTCTTCCTACTTTCCCATTCTCCCTCTAAAACACCCAGTCACCTCTGTTCAAATCAGAATGGAGCTCTTTCCCCTACTGTCAGTAGTTACTTTCCAGTGTCTTATTTTTATTTTTATTTATTTATGTATTTTGAGATGGTGTCTTGCTCTGTCACCCAGGCTAGTGCAGTGGCATGATCTCAGCTCAGTGCAACCTCTGCCTCCCAGGTTCAAGACATTCCCCTGCCTCAGCCTTCCGAATAGCTGGGAGTACGGGCACCCACCACCATGCCCGGCTAATTCTTGTATTTTTAGTAGAAACAGGGTTTCACTATGTTGGCCAGGCTGCTCTTGAACTCCTGAACTTAAGTGATCCTCCCGCCTCGGCCTCCCAAAGTGCTGGGTTTACAGGTGTGAGCCACCACGTCTGGACATTTGCAGTGCTTTAAATAATGTTGGATTTGTTTATCTTTAACATGAGCTAGATTCTGCCAGATCCACCAGTCTGTAAAGTAGAGTGAAACCAGACCAGTGTTTTATAAATGTAAGAATTATGTGAAGAATCAAGCACAAGCATGACCAGAGACACTAGCAAGCTGCATGAGCAGGTAGCTTCTACCCTCATAGCCGCCTCCATAGTTGA